>NW_013171812.1:0-59016 GCF_000001405.40 Homo sapiens | reverse complement strand
TATTAAAATTGCCCCTCAAAAATGGTTTGAACATCAGTAATTTCACTTTTTCCACATAATTTATCTTAAATACCAGAAAGTAAAACTAAAATGTCTTTTTTTTTTTTTTTTTAGATGGAGTCTCACTCTGTCGCCTAGACTGGAGTGCAGTGGTGTGACCTCAGCTCACTGTAACCTCCACCTCCTGGGGTTCAAGTGATTCTCCTGCCTCAGCCTCTGGAGTAGCTGGGATTACGGTCATGTGCCACCACGCCTGGCTAATTTTTGTATTTTTAGTAGAGACAGGGTTTCACCATGACCTCAGGTGATCCACCCGCCTTGGCCTCCCAAAGTGCTGGGATTACAAGTATGAGCCACAGTGCCTGGCCTTAAAATATCTTTTGCTTCTTGACTTTAGACGTGTATTTTCTGCATATTTTCATAACCTTTTTACACTAAAATTACTACTTGTTTATACTGCATGTCAATTGTTAAGCTAATTGTTACATTGTTGAAAACATTCACTGATATATTTTATATTGATACTTTCCTCATTCTGGGGTTCCATTGTCTTTTTTCAATCAGATGTTTTAAGTGTTGAAAAAAATCCTGGCCTTTATGGGTGAGGAAGGAATGTTTATTTCAGTAGATGTCAGCTCAGAATCAAATTACCAATGCGCAAAGCCTAGGCACACACATTCCTAAAGTATTTGGTTTCAATCGTGGGATAAATATAGCTTGAACCTAACCTTCCTTCCCCTTCCCCTTCCCTCCCCTTCTTTCCTTCCTTCTTTTTTTTTTTTTGAGAAGAAGACCTAAGAATCATGAGTTTGTATGCACCTAACATCATAACCTCAAAGATATAAAGAAAAAATGGGCACATTACAAATAAAAATTGACAAAGTAACCCCTATAATCATAGTGGGAGATGTAACAACTCTATAACAATTTTTTTGTTTGTTTGTTTTGTTTTTTAGACAGACTCTCGCCCTGTTGCCCAGGCTGGAGTGCAGTGGTGCGATCTCGGCTCACTGCAAGCTCCACCTCCTGGGTTCACCCCGTTCTCCTGCCTCAGCCTCCTGAGTAGTTGGGACTACAGGCGCCCGCCACCACGCCCGGCTAATTTTTTGTATTTTTAGTAGAGACGGGGTTTCACCATGTTAGCCAGGATGGTCTCCATCTCCTGACCTTGTGATCCGCCCACCTCAGCCTCCCAAAGTGCTGGGATTACAGGCATGAGCCACCGCGCCCAGCGAACAAATTTTAATACTTTTTTATTATTTATAAAATAATATGAGCCACTGCACCTGGCCCCAGCTTGGTTTTGATGAGAATTGGCCTGGAATATCTTTTCAGAATTCCCTTCCATGTTATGATGACTGGCCTTAAGAGAAGTTTGTGCAAGATCAGAAGGTTTAAGTGAAGCATCAGCCATGCAGCTCTGGGGTCAGCGTGGGGAGTGGGGATGAGTCCCCATCGTAGCTCACTGTGCTGCCCGCTTTGGGCAGTAGCCAGGCCCTCGGCTCCCTCAGCTCCCACCATGTCTCCTCCATTGGCTGCTCAGAGTCTGAGCCAGGCGTGTGCAGAGTTGAGGTAGCAGGCAGCAGCTTATTCTGTTTGATATTGAGGCTGTAGGCAGTGAGAGACAGATGTGGCTCCATCTTCTCACACTCCCTGCTTCACACATAATTTTTTCCTATTAGCGCTCCTTGCTACAACCAGCTTCAGCCAACGTAGGTGCAGAAGTCAACTGGAGGCAGCTCCCTGGGCTTGCTCCCATAGTCACGGAAAATCCAATCCCTATACTTACTTTATTAATTTAATTTTATTTATTTTGGAGACAGGGCCTCACTCCATTATCCAGGCTGGATTTCAGTGTTGCCATCACGGCTCACTGCAGCCTCTATCTCCGAGGCTCAACTGATCCTCCTGCCTCCGCCTCCCAAATTGCTGGGATTACAGGCGTGAGCCACTGAGCCTGGCCTAATTCTTTTTTTTTTTTTTGAAACAGTGTCTTGCTCTGTCACCCAGGCTGGAGTGCAGTGGCACAATCACTGCAACCTCTACCTCCTGGGTTCAAGCGATTCTCCTGCCTCTGTCTCCCGAGTAGCTGGGATTACAGGCATGTGCCACCATGCCAGCTAATTTCTGTATTTTTAGTAGCGACGGGGTTTCACTATGTTGGCCAGGCTGATCTTGAACTCCTGATCTCAAGGGATCCACCCACCTCAGCCTCCCAAAGTGCTGTGATTACAGGCGTGAGCCACTGTGCCCTGCTGTAATTATGTTACATCGCTCCTTGAGGGTTCTGCTTCCTCGATCACACAAATGAATTTTACCCTAACAGATATATACAGATATATCTTACGTTGATGTCATTTTAAATCACTGGGGAATGAAAAGATGATTGATTCAATAAACATTGCTGAAAAAATTACTTAACATATTTGGAAAATAGTATATCTTTATATTGTTCATAAAAATGTTTTTAAAACCTCAAACTATAAACATATTGGGAAAAGTAGAATATGCTTGCAACCCTGGAATACAGAAACAAAATGCAAACATCATAAGGATCGAAACGTAAATATATCAAAATTATAAGTTATTTAGAGGCGGTTTTTCAGGTTTGACCTACAGATTGTTAAAATAAAAATTATTGGTAGCCAGACTCAGTGGTATGAGCCTGTGTTCCCAGCTACTCGGGAGGCTGAGGCAAGAGGATGGCTTGATCCCTGGAGTTCAAGGGTGTGGTGCACTATGGTCACGTCTGTGAATAACCACTGCACTTCAGCATGGATAATATAATGATACCCTGCCTCAAAAAAAACCTGAGGGATTCACTGTGAGTCAAGGCATCCAGCTATATGCTAAAGTTGAGCAAATTTTACAAAATGCTGAGAGAGAAAAGAGATAAAAGGATAGACAGACAGACATGCTTGAATGGAGCTTTGGGGATAAAGGACATTGTGGGCCAGATATACAGCCACCAACCTTCGGCCACGCTGCGGAATCAGGATTCATTCTTGGCTAGATTGCAGAGACAGGGCAGGAGACACAGCTGAAGAGCTGGTTCGCTGGAGACAAGAGAGCTCAAGCCTGGAGAACAGTAAAGAACCTCCCCTGCCAGGCGCAGTGGCTGACACCTGTAATCCCAGCACTTTGGGAGGCCGAGGAGGGCGGATCACGAGGTCAGGAGATCGAGACCATCCTGGCTAACACAGTGAAACCCTGTCTCTACTAAAAATACAAAAAATTAGCTGGGCGTGGTAGCATGTGCCTGTAGTCCCAACTACTCAGGAGGCTGAGGTAAGAGAAGTGCTTGAACCCAGGAGGCTGAGATCGCACCACTGCACTCCAGCCTGGGTGACAGAGCGAGACCCCGTCTCAAAAATGCTCAGTCTGCAGTGAGAAACTCTAACCCTCTCCAGCTTCATCTCCCATCAGTCTCCTGCGGTTTTTCCTTTCCAGGCTTTGCCTAGGCAGTTTTCACATGCTGTCATCTCCTGTCTTCCCTTTTTTGACAGCGTCCCTCTGACTGTAAGCCCTACGAGTTCTGGGTTGGCTCACTGCTTCCTTGCCTCCTTCAGGCAGAGTGAGTTGCTCTCCAGGACTTCAACCTGCCTTCTCCCCCAGTGTGTACATCACAGTCACAGTGATTGTCTGTTTACTATCTCCTGCCTCAGAAGACTGAGCTCCTGGAGCCAAGGATCGCGGCTTAAGCTCACCCCTGCAGCCCCATCTCTCTCTACACAGGCCTAACACACGGTCAGTGTGGAACAAAGTCTTGGTCTCCCTGCTGCTGGTTGTTCCTCTCCTCAACCTGTTCCACAAACAGATGGCTGATTCTCATCCTAAAGCAAAGTTGATTTTATCACCCCCAACTCAAAATCCTTCCCTGGCTGACTTTCGCTTTTGAAACGCTTTCAATTGTTAGCATTCAGGCCTTGCACGTGGTGCACCAAGGGCTGTTAGGATAATTGGAGAGAAAAGGTTGAGGTAAGAGTCCCGGTGAGGGTCAAGGTTAGGCAAACTGATAAGTAAATTGAGAGCCCAGCGAAGCACATAATTTCCTCTCTCCTGCTCTTCCTCAAACACTCATGGAGCACCATGTGTCAGTTTCTGCGCTGAATCTTAATAAAGCAGAAAATGATTATGTTCCTATGCTGACCCCAAAAAGACACGGACCTTGTTCTGTCTCTCCACGTTGGCTATTGTCTGACTCCAGTGGTATGCTGCTGAATGTTTAACAACTGACTTTCTGGGAAGAAAAAAAAAAAGCCCTGATTTCTACAGTTTACCAATTTCTATGGTGTAAATATTCCCACCATAGCCGATTTCAAGTCTCCAATATGATGTCATTGAACATAGAGTTGGAAAGAAACGTGCAATAGCACACTATTATATAGTATTCCCACCATACAGATAAGATGGATGTAAATCACTCCAAGAACACAGATAGTAGTAAAACAGCAAAACAATTAACCAGTGATACATTTTGAGTGTTTTCTTTCTTCATTTGTTTATTTATTATTTTTTGGACAGTAAGTCGTTCTGTCTCCCAGGCTGGAGTGCAGTGGCATGATCTCAGATCACTGCAACCTCCACCTCCAGGTTCAAGCGATTCTCCTGCCTCAGCCTCCCAAGTAGCTGGGATTACAGGTGCGCGCCACCACGCCCAGCTAATTTTTGTACTTTTAGTGGAGATGGGGTTTCACCATGTTGCCCAGGTTGGTCTTGAACTCCTGACCTCAGGTGATCCACCCGCCTCGGCCTCCCAAAGTGCTGGGATTGCAGGCGTGAGCCACCGCGCAGGCGTCTACCTTTGTTTTTAATATAATGTATTTAATTGTAGGCTCATAAAATTTATTTTTTAACAATGACGTCAAAAAATGTATTTAACATCCAGCTTGCAAAACGTCTGAAAACTTAACCATGCGCTCATGCGCACTGTCTTCAAATGCGGTTTTTGACGGTGCCCATTTTACTTCGTCATGTTTGGGGCTTTTAGTGGTCGGGACACGCAAAGCCAGGAAGAGAAACGAGGCCAACGGGAGGAGCAAAGCCGGGCTCCAGTCCCTCACGCGGCCACCGGGGGGCGACAGACACAGGCCAATGAGCAGCTGGGGATCTGAGGCCCCCGGGCTCGGCCGCTGGGTCTCTTCTCCGCCCACAAGGAGGACTGAGACGCTTTTCCTGATATTTTGGGCGTGGCCCGTCACCGGCACCGTGGCAGGGGTCTGGGGCGCTGAGGGGCCGCTCCCCACCCGGACTTAGGTCCCTGGTATTGAAAACCAGCGCTGTCCATCCGCAGTGCCCCAAGTGTCCCCGGACACCAAGCTGGCTCACTCTGGCGGCCGCCATAACCCCTGCCCGGCAGCCTCTGCGGCCGGAAGTTGGCTCGGCCGGTGTTCGGGGCATCCCTCGGGCAGTTAACCGCACTTCCGCTGGCTGGGTATCCGCGGCAAGTTCAGATCATTAGTTGGCTGGAGTTAATTAACCACCAGACAATTAGCTTATCTTTTTCCCGATCCTAAGACCAGCTGGATTGGTGAGGAGGAACTAGAGACAACAGCTTCCTTCTGAGTCACCTTGAGGCAGCAGCCACTGGGGAAATGCAGGGAAGGACACTACCCAGGCTTCCTGGAGGGGTTGGCCCCAGGGCATGCCCTGCTTGGGCGGAAAAGCTTGGAGTTTAGATGAGGAAGCCTGAATTCTCCTCTAGACCTCCTGCCAACTCTTTGCCTGACCTTGGGCAAAACATTTAACTCTCTTCTGGGCCTTGGTTTCTTTAGCAAACACTGACGCCTGCTTCTCCGGCTCGCCCCCGCGCCCCACTCCCCCCACCGCTTTTTAAATGTTTATTATTTTTTTAATCATGGTTTTATTAGGTTGGTGCAAAAGTAACTGCGGTTTTTATCATTACTTTCAATGGCATAATAGAATGGGACTCTATTTGCTGCCAGATTGGGAATTCTAAGGGTATAAATATGTATTAATAAATATTATGACCTTTAAAATTTTAAAACAAATGCAAAACCTGCAGCATTTTTCGGGAATTGATTCTCTGTACATAAAAATGAGATTAGTCAATCCTTTTGGTGTCTGTTTAGCATACAATGAGTACATCCAGATAGTTAAGACCCTTGGAATCAAGATTAAGAGAACCATCAATTAAGGAGGTATGGTTGGTTAATTCTATACTTATTTTGAAAATAAGTTAGTTGGCCGGGCGCGGTGGCTCACGCCTGTAATCCCAGCACTTTGGGAGGCCAAGGTGGGTGGATCATGAGGTCAGGAGATCGAGACCATCCTGGCTAACACAGTGAAACCCCGTCTTTACTAAAAATACAAAAAATTAGCCGGGCGTGGTGGCGGGCGCTGTAGTCCCAGCTACTCAGGAGGCTGAGGCAGGAGAATGGCGTGAACCTGGGAGGCGGAGCCTGCAGTGAGCGGAGATCGCGCCACTGCACTCCAACCTGGGCGACAGAGCGAGACACTGTCTCAGAAAAATAATAATAATAATAATAAGTATAGTTAATTCTATACTTACTTTGGAAAACACCAGCTATTCAGCACGAATAGCAAAGACACCATGACTACGTTCTACTACTGTGGGACTGTAGTAGAACACTGACGCCTGCTTCTCCGGTACCCCCCCCGCCCCCCCTCCCCCGCCTTTTTAATGTTTTATTATTATTATTTTTTGAGAGTCTCACTCTGACGCCCAGGCTGGAGTGCAGTGGGGCGATCTCAGCTCACTGCTTTCCCCTTTCTTGTTGGCAGGCAGTGCGCACCTCTCCAGGGAAATTTACTCCAGTGCTTCATCCTACCTCATTGGACACAGCCGACCGTGTTGGTCCTGGTTCCCTCTTCAAATGCTGGCTCCTGGAAATAGCATCAAAGCAAGCAGCTGATAAGACAAAACTGGGTTGTTGCTTATGCTAAGGGGAAGCACCACCTTGAAAGAGTCATTGTAGAGTGGAGGTCGGGAGGGCAAAGTTGAGATACTGAGGTTTTGGGGTTTGGTTTAAGGCAGGTCCTTTGATGTCGGACTTAATCAGGGCTGGGTAAGGATCATGTTATAATAGTTTAGGATTGTTGGTCACAGTTTTGTATTGGTGGTCACAGTGAAGTGAGGGCTTCAAAGACTCTTGGAGCTTTCTTTGATGCTCCCTGTTGAAGAGCTGTGTGGTTTTATTAATGGATTTTCCTGAACTCAAGGAGTAAGGTTATTTGCAACTTTTGTGTTTCTGGGCAAGCATTTCCTGGAATAATAAAGTCACAATAATAGAGTCATGTTATTTTGCTTCAGCAATTGTGAGTCGGAGTACTCTGCTATTTGTATCCAGAGGCACCCTGTTATGGTTTCCTTGTGTGTAAAATGGGGATTATACTGCAGAGAGAAGGGGAGGAGCTGGGCATGCTTTGAGAAGACCAAAGTTTCAACGTATTGTAGGCTTTTGGTATTACAGCAATGTAGGGCTTACAAAAATGTCTGAGTCCTGGAAAATTATCCTTACTCTGAAATAGGAAATGGAGTTGCCAAGTTGAATTACATAGTTGTTTGTTAAATGTCTCCTAGACATAATTATGTCCACTGGTCCAGTGCAACTCAGAGCACACGGTTGTGGGTCCATTGCATTTATTCTGCAGAGGGAGGTGCATGCTCATGTGTTCGAAGCCATGTGATGGGGGCTTCAAAGCTGAGAATGCTCCAGGCTTATCAAGGTCTTAAAATGGCCCTGTGACTGGCCTTTCTACTTCCTTTCTGCTTGAGTCCTGGCCTTTCTACTTCCTAGCCATGTGAATTGGGATCAACTCCTCCCTCTCTGAGCCAATTTCCTCATGTGTACAGTGGGGAAGACAATGCTTGGGGCAGAATAAGAAGGGTGAAGCGAGGTGGTGTGTTGAGTATAGTAGCAAACAGTTTTTGGAACTGAGGCCCAGATGATCCCGGGGTGGCTTCAGCCCTGCAAACTGTGGATCTGGTACAATGTACCCTGAGAGAGACCATGGACCTATAGATAGCAAGTCTGTAAAGGCTCACAGTTAATCAGGTTAGGAGAAAGCAAGAGAAATGAGGATCCCAGCCCAGGGAGCCTGGGACTTATTCAGGTCAGTTTCTGCACTGACCCACATATTTAACAACCAGCTCTTTACAGGCATGAGACAATCAGAACAGTCTTGCTGGAGATGCTGGAGGCCCTGTGTGAAAACAGGCATTCACTCTTTAAGTGTTAGATTTTGAGGATAGTGGAGGGCCTGGAGCAGCTGGGCAGTAAGGGGCACCTGGGGACTTGGGGAAATGGCTGTTTATCAACCTACAGTTGACATTCAGTTTGGCTCTACCAGAGCTGAAAATCTGCCTTGCTTAGGGGAGCATGGGAGTACCAGGTGTGGGAGCAAGTGGACGTTGGTAGTACAGCCCTGGGCAGGGCAGGCATGGATGGGGGCCAGATTCTGATCAGTGAAGCACCCCTGGGCACTCCCTTGAACCTCAAGCCTGAGGTCAACCAGTGGGGCCTTGGCTCCCTGGGGCTCCTGGATGTTTGAGCAATGCCCCCCTCAGAGAACTTTCCTAAGTTTTCAGTTTCTCCCCTCTTTTGTGCTTTGGAAAATCCTTCCTCCTTCCTGTGTCTAGGTGTCTAGGTGAGGTATTTCCTGTCTTCTCTGTCCTCAAGCCACTGTTCTCCTCTTTTACAGCAGACCTTGACACCAAATCATTAAAAACCAAAAAACTAGTTCTCTTTTCTTCAAGGGCAAGAAAGACTGAGTTTCCAAGTCCTACCAGGATATTTGCGGAAATTTTTGGATCCTATTTTTCTATGGTAAAGATAGGGAAGAAAAACAAATCACATACAAGTTTTATCTCTTTTATTTAGTTTTTTTAGACGGGGTCTCACTCTGTGGCCCAGGCTGGAGTGCAGTGGCACGATCATAGCTCACTGCAACCGTGGACTCCTGGGCTCAAGCAATCCTCTTGCCTCAATCTCCCAAGTGGCTGGAACTACAGGTGTGCACCACTACACCAAGCTGATTTTTAAAAATTTTTATGTAGAGACAGGGTCTTGCTATGTTGCCCAGGCTGGTCTTAAACTCCTGGCCTCAAGCGATCCTCCTGTCTTGGCTTCCCAAAGTGTTGAGATTATGGGCGTGAGCTATTATGCCTAGGCACTACATAACTTTTCAAGAGTGTAGTTTGATAATATATGTCATCAAAAACTGTAAATACATTTAAAACCTTTATCCTAGCAATTTCCCTTCTAGGAATGTAGCTTGAGGAAATAACCAGAGATTCTTTCAAAGATTGATGAACAAGGTTACTTACTGACACATTACATACAACAGAAAAAAGAATGAATGTCCAGTATCAGAGGGCATGGGATTGAGTAAATTATGGTATATTGTTGTCTTAGTCTGTTTTGTGTTGCTCAGGTACAGAATACCTGAGACTGGGTAATTTATAATAAACAGAAATTCATTGGCACATGGTTCTGGAGACTGGGAAGTCCAAGATTGAGGGGCTGCATCTGATGAGGGCCTTCTTGCTGCCTCATAACATGGCGGGAGGCATCACGTGGCAAGAGAGCATATACATAAGAGAGTAAGGGGGTGGAACTCATATATTTTATCAGGAACCCACCCCATGATAACCAACCCACTCCCAAAATAATGGCATTAATCCATACAGGAGGGCATAAGCTTTATGACCTAATCACCTCGGAAAGGTCCCGCCTCTCAACATTCTTGCTTTGGGGATTAAGTTTCCAACACATGAACTTTGGGGACACATCCAAACCGTAACAATTCTATAGTGGAATATTATATAGACATTAATAATCATGTTATGAATGGTTTACTGATATGAGAAGATGCCATATTGAATTTTAAAAGCAGATTAAGATAATGTCACAGTATGATTCCAATAATATCCAAAAAAAAAGAATATAATTTGTAGCTTGTTTTATTAAGTAAAAATTTATAAATGGTGTTTCACTTAATTCATCAATTGATTCAACAATATTGGGAGGCCACTAACTGACAGGCACTGAAGATATAATACTAAGCTGTTAAAAGTGTAATGTTCGGCCAGGCGCGGTGGCTCATGCCTGTAATCCCAGCACTTTGGGAGGCTGAGGCCAGTGGATCACCTGAGGTCAGGAGTTTGAGACCAGCCTGATCAACATGGCAAAACCCCGTCTCTACTAAAAATACAAAAATTGGCAGGGCTTGGTGGTGGGCACCTGTAATCCCAGCTACTCGGGAGGCTGAGGCAGGAGTATCGCTTGAGTCCAGGAGGCGGAGATTGCAGTGAGCTGAGAGATCGAGCCACTGCACTCCAGCCTGGGTGACAGAGCAAGACTTCATCTAAAAAAAAAAAAATTATATATATATAGCAACTTATTCAAAGCACCATACACTTACAGTCTGATAAGTAATGCTGAAGTGAATTCGCCAGTGGATATGGAGCTGTCAGAACAGTCGATACCCACAGTAGCATTTCTATGCACAGGGATTATTTACATCACTATCAGTTTCCTGCCAATGAACTTCTGTCTTTACAGAGTAGCCTAAGCAAGGTGAGTACCCCTATAGGATGGGGTAATCCCTGGTGGCTCCAGCTTCCCCTTGAAAGTATATACAATCATTTCACTTGCTCATTTCGTATCTTCCTTACTTTTCCCTGTAGGGATGAGAAAAAGAATAAGAGGGAGAGTGTCACTTAAACTAAGACCTGAGGAGACCTGTCAGCTCTGAACAGGGATAGATGGAGCAGCGTGTGCCAAGGCCCTTAGGTAGAAAAGGGCTTAGGGCAAATAGAGGACCAGTGTGGCTGGACAGGAGTGAGCTGGGCAGGGTGACCATCGGCAGGCAGAGAGGTCAGCAGGGGCTGATGACGCCGAGCCCCGAGGGAGTCCAGGAATTACAGGATCTCCTGAAAGCAGTGGGCCCCGCTAGAGAAAGTTAAACTGGGAAGTGCCATGATGTAATTTATGTTGCACTAAATAGCTCTGATTCCTGAGACAAGAGACTTGAGGGACCCCAGGGTACCCGCCCACCTGTTGCAGAGGAGATGGATGGGGCCCTGTGGACATGGAGGGAAGTGCCTGCGTCCACCAGCAACTTCCAGGTCTGAAACGCCATGACCTGCTGATGGACAGATACAGGCGGGGAGGAAAAGGACAAACCAGGGGCGACATCCAGGCTCGCGGCTGGAGAGCCGGATGAATAGCAGGGCCATTTTCTGAGCAGGGAAGCCCGGGGGAGGGGTGGATTGGAGTGACTCTCCACATTTCCTACTTTGAGATGCCTGTTGCACGTCCAAGTCCCCAGCGCCCAGATTATGGCTTGAAGGGACAGCTGTGGGAGTGGAAGTGGGAGCTGCGTCTCCACCGGCACAGAGGGGTGAGCCCATTCCAGCTGCTGACCCACTTTCCCCACACACATGTGCCCCTCTGCCCCAGAGCTGTCTGACCTCCTGGTGGAGAAACTCCACACTCTGACTTATCATTGAAGCCACTCATTCGCAGTGATTATCAGAGACACTCATTTCCCTGGAAGGATGAGGGGGAGGAGGACGGGTTGGACTTGGCTTCACAACCTGCGGGGGTGGTCAGAGCTGGTTTCTCTGCCTCCTCTCCCAGCAGGCCTGACGTGGCTGCCCAGCTCACATGGGGGACTAGGTCACAGCTAAGCAGGTGGCCCTGAAGGCAGAGACCTGCAGATCCCAGCTCTGCACAGCTCACTCTGGAACTGAACTGGGGTCCCTCATCCCACAGCACCCCCAGATGTGACTAATCTCCGTGTGGTCAGCCACCTCCTCTCCTGTGATTTGCAGACTCTCTGAAGCTGGCAGATAGCCCCACCATGACCTCTGATCTCAGGACTCTGAGGTCCTGCCCCTCCTCTGTGTCACTGATGAGTCACGGACAGCGTAGGAGCTGCCCAGCCTGGTGACGGACACCCAGGGAATCACCTGGCCCTGCTCGCCCACTTCCTCTGTGTCACTACCCCAGCTCGACTCTTCCCACGGGCTGCATCCCAGCTGCCCAGACCCTGTCCTGTCCTTCCCTCCCTCCCTCTCTGCTTCCAGGCAGTGGAGGAGGCGCAATTCTTCCAGACTGAGCTCCCAGTGTTGGGGCTTTGAGATGCAAGAGTCAGTTCTGGCTGGTCCCAGGTGGAAGAGACAGAGGATGCTGGGCTGCTTGTGTCTGGCTTTGGATGTGCTGGACACAGGATGGGCAATTCGAGGCCGCCCTCTGGACCTCCCCGAGGCTTCAGGAAGCTACTGAGCTGTGGGAAATCCAGGCTGGGTTTCTGGTGGAAAGTGAGGAGGGGCAGAGTCTGGGGGCCAGGCCTGAGATGGACAGAGCTGAGGCCTCAAGGAGCCCACAGTGGAGGCAGAGGACTGGAACCTAGGATGGGCTGGAACCCAGTTTGACCCAAGTCACCAAGAGGCAGGGAAGCCCCAAGTGCTGGGCAGGCTACGAAGGAAACAGGTTCCCAGGGCAGCTCAGAAGCTTAATCAGACAGAGGGACATCCCCGTGGGAAGGTGGTGAAATGCCAGCTGGTGAGCAGTGTTACCTCAGCGGGTCCTGCAACATTCCCAGGGCCAAACAGGCCAGATTCCTCAAAACCATTAGTGCCCCAGAAAACCCTGCCCGCAGAGCAGCCAGCTTGCCCTTTACTCAGTCACACTTAGCCCTGGGAGGCCTCAGCCCTTCTCACAAGGGGAGGAAGGAACTGTTGGGCTGCTTTGCAATGCTCTGCTCTGCTCAGTCCAGCTTAACTGGAGCCTCACCTGAGTCACCTGAGGAGCGGATGGAGCACTGGCTCTGTCCTAGACCCCAACTGCTAACAAGAGTGTCCAGAACTCAAACACCCCAGGATCCTGCATTTGGGGACCCAGTATAGGGCCAGTGTCACAGGGGGATGAGGTGGGGACTGTTCTGCAATCAGAGCTTCTGATTTTTCATGAAAAAGTGAGAATCCAGACATCTTTATTTTTTTAGTTGTGGTAAAATATAGGGAAGATTGGCCATTTAACCTTGCTTAAGTGCACAGTTCAGTAACGCCCAGCACATTCACACGGCCGTGCAGCCAACCCCACCATCCCTCTCCAGAACTTTTGCATCCTCCCAAACTGAAGCTCTGCCCCAGAAAACACTCTCTCCATTTCCCTCCCCAGCCCCTGGCACCCGCCGTTCCCCTCCCTCCCTCCGTCCCTTCTCATCCATTTCCCCCTCCTCTCTCCTCCCCTCCCCTCCCTTCCTTTCCATTTCCCCCTCCCCTCTCCTCCCCTCCCCTCCCTTCCTTCCTTCCCCATTTCTCTCCCCAGCCCCTGGCACCCACATTTTCCTTCCTGCCTGCTTGCCTTCCTCCCTCCTTTTCTCCCTCCCTCCCTCCGTCCATCCCTCCCTTCTTTTTTTTTTTTTTTCCAAGGTCTCACTCTGTTGCCCAGGCTGCACGGTGCAGTGGCATGATCATGGCTCACTGCAGCCTCAACCTCCTGGACTCAAGCCATCCTCCCACTTGAGCCTCCTGAGTAGCTGGGACTACAGGCATGCACCACCATGCCCAGCGAATTTTGGTATTTTTTGTAGAGACAAGGTCTCACTATGTTGCTCAGGCTGGTCTCAATCTCCCGGGCTCAAGCAATCCTCCCACCTCGGCCTCCTAAAGTGCTGGAATTACAGGCATGAGCCACCGCGCCTGGCCCATTCTGTTCCGTCTCCATGAATTTGACTGCTCAAGGGACCTCTCTTAGGAGGATCATACAGTGTCTGTCCTTTTGTGTCCAGCCCCTGTCACTGAACTCAACGTCCTCAAGGTCCATGCAGGCTGAGGCTAAGGCTGCGCGTCCTCCCACGGTGGGAATAGACTGCACTGCGCTCACCCATTCGCCTGTCCGTGGACATGTGGTGGTTTCCACCTCACCCATTGTCAGTGATGCCACAGTGAATATCCGTGTACACGTGTGTTTGAGCAGGGATTCAAACAGATACTTATACCTCCATGTTCACAGCAGCATCATTTGAAATTCAGATTTTTTTTAAAAAATGCGTATTTGTTCAATTTAGAAAAAACAAGCAACGTGGCCAGGTCTAAAAAGACCCCCGGAAGGTTGGATTCCACAGCCAGTTTACCGCTCTGGTCCCAGAATAAGCCGCTGGGCCAAGGAGGAAACAGAGGCCCTGTGAGGCCAGGCAGCTTGCCTGGATCACGGTGGCTTCACACCCAAGTTCACAGCTTCCTGGTGGCCTCCCCTTCCACCAGCCTCCCCACCTCCTCAGCCCCGAAAGACCCAGCCCCTCCTTGCACAAAACACAGCCAGCCACCTCTGAGCTAGGGTCAGAGTTCCATAAATACTGAAACTGCGGAGGAGAGGCAGGCAGCACGTTACGGTCACCCCCGCAAGGCCTCTCCACCCCCCACGGCTCCCACCGCAGCCCCTCTCTGGGTGGGGTGGGGGGATTAAAGGGACACTGAAGACCTGCCTCTTTCAGCCCCACTTAGACACCGGGGCATCCTAGACTTCTATCTCCCACCTTCCTAAATTTGCAACCACGGGACCCTTGGGCCTGAAACGCTCTGCCGACCTCCGTCATCACAGCGGACAGAGGCACCGCCTGGGGCAGCCAACAGTCTCAGCCTGCTGGAGAATATTTCAGGCAGGCTCTCAGTCCTGGGCGTCCCGGGCAGCTGGTCACCCCACCACCTGCCTGGCTCGCCGGCACCTGCCATCCCCCTCGCTCCGTCTCCATTTCCCACAGAGTCCCTGCCACAGTTTCTTCCTGGATGCAGCCCTCACCCGCTTCCCCACCTGCCTCCTGCGTCCCCTCCACACCTCTAACCCAGCTCAGATCCCAGCTTGACTCTGCTGCAAGCTGGCAGTACCTTCCCCGCCCTTGAGCAGAGTCTTCTCTACGGGGCCCAGGAGGACCTCAGTGGTCTGGTGGCCCCGGCCAGCCCAAGCACCCAGCCCCTGTGCCGGAGCCGCGTGGTCAGTTCCTACAGGGGCTCCCTTGGCCTGGGACACTGTCCTGGCCGCCCACATCTCTGCTTTGTGGCGGTTCCAGTCCCGTCACGTTTGCAGGTGAGTGAGGGATGTGGAACTCTTTGGCTGTCCACGCCCACGTGGTCTCCGATGGCAAATGTCACCTGCTCGTTGGTCACCTCAATAGCCTCCAGACTTTAAATCCTCCCCAGGCTCCAGATGCCAGGTTTCCCTCCAACCCGACCTCTGCCTTGAGCTCACCTACCCTGGGCCTTGTCTCCAGCTAAGCAGATCCAGAGTCACTCCCCATCTTGCCCACAACCCTTGCCTCAGGCAGCCACTGCCCCCACTGCACTGGCCCTCTGGCCCTTGGTCCTGTCTGCTTGGCCTCAGAGAAAGACCTAGAATCCATCCCTTTCTCCACCCCATTTTCTCTGTCCTGGGCCCGACAGGTAGCCCTGCTTCACCCCAGCCTCCTCACAGCCAGGTGTTAACGTGGCTCCTCCTGGGATCCCGCTAAAATGCAGCCAGGGCGGAGGGGCTTCAGCCCCTCAACAAAGACCAAGGCCTTCATGCCTCACACCCTCTGCCACTCTCTCCCTGCGCCCTGAGACCCCCAACCTGGGCCCACACATCCCAGCCTTGGCCTTTGCTGTCCTGTGGCTGGAACGGTCCCCTGAGCGCTCCACACAGCTCTCTCCCATCTCAGGTCTCTCCTCAAATGTTACCCTCATTGGGAAGAACTGCTGGGGCCACTTACTTAAGACTGCGACCCTCCATCCTCATCCACCCCAACCCCCACCCACTCCCCACACCTCTTGCCTGCTTTGGTTTCCCCCATTGACTTCAACAACTATTAGACTAAATAATTAAAAAAAATGTATAGAGAAGGGATCTCACTATGTTGTCCAGGCTGGTCTTAAACTCCTGGGCTCAGATGATCCTCCTGCCTCGGCCTCCCAAAGTGTTGGGATTACAGGCACGAACTAAATGATTTTTAAAATTTTATCTTTATTGATTTGGAGGGTACTAGACCAGGCATGGTGGCTCACACCAGCACTTTGGAAGGCTGAGGCAGGTGGGTCACCTGAGGTCAAGAGTTCCAGACCAGCCTGGCCAACATGGTGAAACCCCGTCTGTACTAAAAATACAAAAATTAGCTAGGCATGGTGGCACATGACTGTAGTCTCAGCTACTTGAGAGGCGAAAGCCCAAGAATTGCTTGAACCCAGGAGGTCGAGGTTGCAATGAACTGAGATCACGCCGCTGCACCCCAGCCTGGGTGACAGAGTGAGATTGTCTCAGAAAAAAAAAAAAAAGGCCAGGCGCGGTGGCTCACGCCTGTAATCCCAGCACTTTGGGAGGCCGAGGTGGGAGGATCACGAGGTCAGGAGATCGAGACCATCCTGGCTAACACGGTGAAACCCCATCTCCGCTAAAAATACAAAAAATTAGCCGGGCATGGTGGTGGGCGCCTGTAGTCCCAGCTACTCGGGAGACTGAGGCAGGAGAATGGGGTGAACCTGGGAGGCGGAGCTTGCAGTGAGCCGAGATCGTGCCACTGCACTCCAGCCTGGGCAACACAGTGGGACTCGGTCTCAAAAACAAACAAACAACCAAAAAAATTAGAGGGTACAAGCACATTTTTGTTACCTGGATATACTGTGTGGTGGTGAAGTCTGGGCTTTTAGTGTCTATCACCCAAATCGTGAACACTGGATCCAATAGCAAATTTCTTCTCCCTTGCCCCCTCCCTCCCTCCCACCCTCCCAGTCTCCAATGTCTGTTATTCCACTCTGTGGCCACAGGTGCACATTGCTTTGCTCCCACTTATTTTATTTTATTTTTTTTGAGATGGAGTCTCGCTCTGTCGCCCAGGCTGGAGTGCAGTGGCACGATCTCAGCTCACTGCAAGCTCCACCTACCAGGTTCACGCCATTCTTTTGCCTCAGCCTCCAAAGTAGCTGGGACTACAGGCGCCCGCCACCACACCTGGCTAATTTTTTGTATTTTTAGTAGAGACGGGGTTTCTCCATGTTAGCCAGGATGGTCTCTAGCTCCTCCTGACCTCGTGATCTGCCCGCCTTGGCCTCCCAAAGTGCTGGGATTACAGGCATGAGCCACTGCGTCCGGCTGCTTTGCTCCCACTTATACATGAGAACATGCTTAAGAGGCTAAGGCAGGTAGATCACCTGAGGTCAGGAGTTCGAGACGAGCCTGACCAATATGGTGAAACCCCGTCTCTACTAAAAATATAAAAAATAGCTGGGCATGGTGGTGTGCACATGTAATTGCAGCTACTCAGGAGGCAGAGGCAGGAGAATCACTTGAACCCGGGAGGCAGAGGTTGCAGTGAGCCCAGATTGCGCCACTGCACTCCAGCCTGGGCAACAGAGCAAGACTCTGCCTCAAAAAAAAAAAAAAAAAAAAAAAAAAGGCTGGGCACACTGGCTCATGCCTGTAATCCCAGCCTTTTGGGAGGCCAAGTCTGGCAGATCATGAGGTAAAAAGATTGAGACCATCCTGACAAACATGCTGAAACCCTGCCTCTACTAAAAATACAAAAATTAGCTGGGTGTGGTGGCACGTGCCTGTAGTTCCAGCTATGTGGGAGGCTGAGGCAGGAGAATTGCTTGGGAGGCTGAGGCAGGAGAATTGCTTGAACTCGGGAGGTGGAGGCTGCAGTGAGCCAAGATTGCACCGCTGCACTCCAGCCTGGTGACACAGTGAGACTCTATCTCAGTAAATAAATAAATAAGAACATGCAATATTTGTCTTTCTGTGTTTGACTTGTTCCGCTTAAGATAATGGCCTCCAGTTCCATCCACATTGCTGCAAAAGACATGGTTTTGTGTTCTTTTTTATGGCTTCGTAGTATCCCACTGTGTATATATTCACCACATTTTCTTTATCCATCATCTGTTGATGGACACTTAGGTTGATTTCATGGCTTTGCTGTTGTGAACAGTGTTGCTGCGATGAACACACGAGTGCAGGTGTCTCTTTGATTAAATGACTTCTTTTCCTTTGGGTGGATGCCCAGTGGTGGGATTGCTGGTTGAATGGTAGTTCTAGTTTTAGTT
This sequence comes from Homo sapiens, assembly GCF_000001405.40. NCBI lineage: Eukaryota > Metazoa > Chordata > Mammalia > Primates > Hominidae > Homo > Homo sapiens. The sequence continues at coordinate 40,952 of NW_013171812.1, read as the reverse complement.
CTTTGAGAAATCTCTATCCTGTTTTCCATAGAGCTAAATGATGTACTTATTGTTTACAATTCTCTGTTTCATCCGATGTCCATGGCTTTTGGTTTGCTCATTGCTGTATCTTCAGCACTTCGGACAGCGCCGGCATACAGGCGGTGCTCTGCAAATGCTTGTTGATTGAGTTAACGAGGACAAGGAGAGTGTCTTATTTCCCTTGACTACTCCAGCACATGGTGGGTGGGCTCCATAGCCTTTGGTGGGACAATGAATGGATAGCCCTGTTCAAAGTAGCTCCCCAGACTCCTGGGCCCACATCTGAGATGCCACCATTGGCGAGTCACTTCTTTTGCCAGTGGCAGCTGCTGTTAACATGGAAATGCCCCAGTGGCCCTGTCAGTCATCACCACTCCAGTGCACATGGATCAGAGGCCCTGAGGCCAGGCTGGCAGGGAGTGGGGGTGTGGGTGGCAGGGGCACACAGCTCATCCAGAGCTTGCACAGGCAGGGATGCTGGCCAGCATGTGGGTCTAGCATTGGCAGGCGCTCAATAAATATTTTGTTGAGTGAATGTTGAATCATGCCAGGGTCTCCACCCCGTGGCCTTTCAGAGACTCCACCCTCTATACCCTGGGAATTGAGGAACTGCTGTCTGGGGCCCTTCCCCAGGACTTGTGCCAGGAAATCTTCACCCAGCTCCTCAGGGCTTCCCCCTGCTCCTACCGGGTCCTTCTCCTCGGGGCCCTCTTCCTGGCCACCCTGTCTCAGGGATAGCGGCATCTTGGGCAGGGCCCATGGCTACCCTTGGGTATCCAGGGCAGTGAGCTGGCTCTTCAGAAAGGCAGAAAAGCTGGAATGGAGAGGAAACCTGGGCGGGAGGCAGAGAGGGAGGCTGGAGTGGTCGGTCCCCAGCCACTTGCAGACTTGCTTCTTCCACACTCATTTATACATTCAACAAACACTCGCTGAGCCCCAGGGTGCAGCAGGCACTGAATATGATCCTGGGGGTCCACAGGGAGCCCCCCTGCCCACACTGTTTCCCCAGCACCCAGCTTCACAGTGGCCCTCTAGGGTCCAAGCCACCGCCTGGTCCCATGGTTCTGTGCCCACCTCCCGGACACCTCCCTGTCATCCGTCATCTGCCTCCCACCCCTAGGAGGTCATGTGCTTCCTGAGCACAGGACCTGCGTCTTATTCATCACATGTGTCCTGGTGCCCACCAGGGCCTGACATACAGCAGGTACTCAATATATGTTTGCTGGGTGAGCTGGAGAGGCCACCCACCTTATTCCAGAAGGCAGTGGGGTGGGGCGCAGGAGGGCCCTGGACGCCCTGGGTGCAGAGCTGAGCGGGGGACAGTGAGTAGGGTTGGGGGAGCCCAGCAGAAATTTCTGCTGCAGTGCTGCTGCTGCTCAGAGACACTGCCCCTCCTTGGCCACTCTGCGTGGCCTTTTCCTGCAGTTCCCCCAAACCCCCTCTGAGTCCTGGGACAGAGAATAATGCATCCTCTGGGGCTCCCCAGGGCCCTGCTGTTTGACTTGTCTCTCGGTGGAGCAGGGCATGGCCTCTCTGCCACGAGAAAGTGCCAGTCGTCCTGCTGCCACCCTAACCCTTAACAGACTGAGGAGGTGGGCAGCACAGAGTCCACCCCCAGGGCAAAACCCGTCCTGCTCAGAGCCATGGAGTCCCTGAAGCAGCCATGGTGGTCTGCTAAGCCCCTGACCCACGCCACCCTGACTCTGCAGGGAGCAAGTTAGGGCTCACCCCAGGCAGGGTGAGGCACCTCCTCCAGGCTCCCGAAGCCTCCATGAGGGCAGTCCCAGCAGCCACCCCCAGTGTTGGGGTGCAGGTCCGGCTCCACCACTCACCCAGCAATCTCGGGCAAGTCACTTAACCGCCCTAAGCTGCCTCAGTTTCCTTATCTGCAGAGTGGGAATAATAAAGACATTTGAGGATTAGGAGGCAATGCATGGCACTCCTAAATGTTTGCTCTATTATATAAATACTATATTTATATTTGTATAAATATATTTATTACATACATATTCACTACTATGGTTTTTTTTTTTTTTTTTTGAAACAGAGTCTCGCTCTGTCGCCCAGGCTGGAGTGCAGTGGCGTGATCTCAGCTCACTGCAACCTCCGCCTCCCAGGTTCAAGCGATTCTCCTGCCTCAGCCTCCCAAGTAGATGGGACTAAGGGCGCCTGCCACCATGCCTGGCTAATTTTTTTTTTTTTGTATTTTTAGTAGAGACGGGGTTTTACTATGTTGGCCAGACTGGTATTGAACTCCTGACCTCATGATCTGTCCGTCTTGGCCTCCCAAAGTGCTGGGATTACAGGAATAAGCCACCCCACCCAGACACTATGGTTGTTTTTAATTCACCCCCGGCGGTAGCAAGGGCCCTGCTGGAGGCTTGTTGATCGAATGAGTGAAGGGGCGCAGGCTCCTGCCTCTTTGTAGAGGAGGAAGCCTGCCCTGCTTGGGTGGGAGTGTCCCAAGTGTGGGGCGCTGCAGGGCACTGAGTCAGGGAAGGTCTCACAGGATTCAGCCCCGGGTTGCCACTGTGGCAGCCGCTGGGGGGAAGCACCGAGAATCCACTCCCAGCCCAGGACCCGGCCCCCCACAGCCCAGCCCAGCAGCTCTTTGAATCCTGGGAGTCCCAGCCCTTCCCGGGGCCCCTCTTCTCTCAACCCCCCTGCTTGGCCGAGCCCTGGTGCCCATGGGCTCCTCCCCTTCCCAGGAGTCCAGGTGAGGTGAGTTGTCAGGTGTCTGAACCGCAGGGCAGAGCCCCGCCTCCAGGAACGACAGGAGGGCGGCCACCAGGAGGCCACCAAGGTCGCCACTCACCTGATTCACAGCTTTCGGGAAGTGGGTTAACGGGATTCCCAAGCCCGGGTTGCGCCAGGTCTCTGGGCTGAGTCACAGGGGCCTGGGGCCCTGCAGGTGGGAGCCGTTACTGAGCTTTGGGCACCCCCTTGATCCCTAAGGCCCTAGGACCACCCCCAACACCCAGTACCCCAGACTTCAGCCTCTCCAAACCCAGGCCCTCCCCAGCCCGGAACCCCTTCCTTTCAGTGCCCTGGCACCTTTCTCTGCCCCTGGACAATTAATGTCAGGGACCTCTGGGCCCAAGCCCCCTCCCCTGCCCTTCCAGAGGCCACATCCTGGGGTCTCAGCTAGAGCCCCCCCAGAGCCCTGTAGCGGCTGGCTTCCTCCCCGCAGCCCCGCCCTCTGCCCAGGACCCACAGCCGGGGTGGCCGCGGGAGCCACCTGGGGACTGGTCTGACGGCATTCCGCCTCCCAGGATAAAACCTGGGGCGACCTGCAGGGAACCTACACACCCTGACCCGCATCGCCCTGGGTCTCTCGAGCCTGCTGCCTGCTCCCCCGCCCCACCAGCCATGGTGGTTTCTGGAGCGCCCCCAGCCCTGGGTGGGGGCTGTCTCGGCACCTTCACCTCCCTGCTGCTGCTGGCGTCGACAGGTACGTCCGGAGGCTGCTCCTCCCTCCTCCCTCTCACCTCCACCCTCCTTCCCTCCTTCCCTCCCTCCCTCTCTCCCTCCTGGCCTTGCCTCTCTCATCTCCTTTCCGCTTCTGCTCTGTTTATCTCTTGCTCCTTAACTGCTCTGTGCCTCGGTTTCTTCTACGGCTGTGAGGATGAAACAGAAAACGCAGCAAGTACGCAGCGCGCCTCGGTCTCCAGTTACCGTCGGCGTCGCCATCACCTGCTCCCTCTCGCCTCCGTGTTCTCCCATCTCCTCGTCCTCCGCTGCTTGCCTCTGGGGAAGCACCGTTTTGTGTTGTTCCTGCCGCAGGAGGTCAGGGGAGGGCACCAGCGGCAGCAGCGTCCAGAGCCGAGGGGCTCAGGTCTGTGCCTCCCTCGAGGAGCCGGTCCTGGTCCCCGGAAGGCAGGCTGGACGGGAAGCTGCGGGAGGGCAGGGTCACAGCTGTGCAGCCAGGGCCTGGCCAGGCCCCAGGAAATGCCCCGCCGGTAGGGGCCCTGGGGTTGAGAGACTTGAGAGTCTCCCTGGGCACTGGAGGGCTAGAGGTTCCTCACCACCAGGTACTCAAGGGGACCCCCTCCTCACTGGGCGCTGGGACGCCTGCTCACTGGGCGCTGGGACCCCTCCTCACTGGGCGCTGGGACCCCCTCCTCACTGAGCGCTGGGACCCCCTCCTCACTGGGCGCTGGGGACCCCTCCTCACTGGGCGCTGGGGAGCCCTCCTCACTGGGCGCTGGGGACCCCTCCTCACTGGGCGCTGGGGAGCCCTCCTCACTGGGCGCTGGGGACCCCTCCTCACTGGGTGCTGGGACCCCTTCCCACTGGGCACTGGACCCCTTCTCACTGGGTGCTGGGGGCTTCTCGCTGGGCGCTGAGGGACCCTCCTCACTGGGTACTGGGACCCCTCCTCACTGGGCGCTGAGGGACCCTCCTCAGGGGGTGCTGGGACCCCTCCTCACTGGGCGCTGAGGGACCCTCCTCACTGGGTGCTGGGACCTCCACCTCACTGGGCACTGGGATCCCTTCTTACTGGGTGTTGGGGGCCTTCCTCACTGGGCGTTGAGGGCCCCTCACCACTGTGTCCTGGGGCCCCTCACCGGCCTAACCGTTTCCTTCTCTTGCCCTCAGCCATCCTCAATGCGGCCAGGATACCTGGTGAGTGGAGCTGGCAGCTCTGACGGGAGGGAGAAGGGAGGAGGCCCACGCGCAGGCAGTGTCTATGTGTCCGTCCCCTGGGCACAGGTCAGAAAGGGGCTGGGGTGAGAGGGGGAAAGAGCTAGAGGGGAAGGGAGGCAGGAAGGAGACACGGATGCAAGGAGAAAGGCTTGAGAGATGCCAGGGCCAGAGGAGAGAGAGAGCCAGGAAGGTGAACAGAGTGGAAAGCAGGGTAAGGAAAGAGGGGGAGGGAGAGACCAGGTGCAGCTGACAAGGAGTGAGTGGAAAGGCCAGGGCCAGGTGAGGACCAGCAGAGAGTGAGGATGGAGGGAGGGATGGGACGGGGAGGTGGGCGGAGCTTGGGGTATGGGTGGAGCTTAGGATGTGGGTGGAGCTTGGGGTGTGGGTGGAGCTTGGAGTGCAAGTGAAACTTGGGATGTGGGTAGAGCTTGGGGACATGAACGGAGCTTGGGCTGTGGGCAAAGCTTGGGGTGCAGGCCTAGGGATTGGGATTCCGGGGGTGGGTTGTAGGAAGTTGGAGATAACAAAACTTGACCGTACCCTCCAGTTCCCCCAGCCTGTGGGAAGCCCCAGCAGCTGAACCGGGTTGTGGGCGGCGAGGACAGCACTGACAGCGAGTGGCCCTGGATCGTGAGCATCCAGAAGAATGGGACCCACCACTGCGCAGGTTCTCTGCTCACCAGCCGCTGGGTGATCACTGCTGCCCACTGTTTCAAGGAGTATGTACAGCCGGCCTGGGGCACTTGATCTTCTAAGGCCCTGGGCTTTGTGCCCCAGGCCCTGGGCTCCCTTTACAGGCTCTGCTTCCGGGCCTCTGTTCAATCTTGGTGCCCCTCGATTCTACCTAGAAGCCTCTCCTGCCTTCAGGGGCCTTCACACCCATGCTGTTCCCCCAGGTACCTCCTCCCAGACCAGGCCTGGCTGATCCTCCCCTTCCCTTTCCTTCCAGCAACCTGAACAAACCATACCTGTTCTCTGTGCTGCTGGGGGCCTGGCAGCTGGGGAACCCTGGCTCTCGGTCCCAGAAGGTGGGTGTTGCCTGGGTGGAGCCCCACCCTGTGTATTCCTGGAAGGAAGGTGCCTGTGCAGACATTGCCCTGGTGCGTCTCGAGCGCTCCATACAGTTCTCAGAGCGGGTCCTGCCCATCTGCCTACCTGATGCCTCTATCCACCTCCCTCCAAACACCCACTGCTGGATCTCAGGCTGGGGGAGCATCCAAGATGGAGGTGCGGCTTCTTCCTCTCCAAGGTGGTTGGGGGCAGATGGGGACAGAGGATGGCAGACACTCAGGGACACAGACACCATGAGCAACAAAGGGTGGAGGCCAGAGGCACAGCATGACAGAGGTGGAAGGAAAGATGGGCTGCAATCCAGAAGAAACCTTGGTGGGCAATTTCAGGCCATTTCTCTTTTCTTTTCTTTCTTCTTCTTCTTTTTTTTTTTTTTTTTTTTTTTTTTTTTTTGAGACAGGGTGTTACTCTGTCACCCAGGCTGGAGTGCAGTGGTGTGATCCTAACTCACTGCAGCCTTTGCCTCCCAGGCTCAAGTGATCCTCCCACCTCAGCCTCCCAGGTAGCTGGAACTACAGGTGTGTGCTACCACACCTGGCTAATTTTTGTATTTTTTGTAGAGACAGGGTTTTTCTGTGTTGGCTGGGCTGGTCTTGAACTGTTGGGCTCAAGCAATCCACCAGCCTCAGCCTCCCAAAGTGCCGGGATTACAGGTGTGAGCCACTGTGCCTGGCCTCATTTCTACTTCAAAAGTATCTGGCTATGTTTTGAGGCAACAGCCAGACCCGTGAAGCTATTCAATTCATCAATACAGGAATGGCTGAAAGGGGGTGTGTGTGGGACTAAGCTGAATACAGGGTGAATATAAAGAGGCCTGATTCCAGAGTGGGAACAGGCACCCCCTGGTGGTAGCATGCCACAATTGCGGGCAAAATTCTCGGGAGAAAATGCAGCCACCTTAATTGTAAAATATAATTTTCAAACCACCACTGGAGGTTTGGAAAACATCATCTCAAAACTCAAACTAGATTACATAAAGCAAGAAGCAGGGAAGCAGCAAGAGAAAGGTAGATGACAGATCGACAGGCAGATGGATGATAGAGACTGGGCCAAGGAAAAGAAACATACAGGCAGAAATGAGGATACAATGAAGACCTGGAAGAAAGAGTTTGAAAGAGAGAGCTAGAGACTAAGTAATAACAAAGTGTAAGACAGATGAAAATTTAACCAGATTCCAGAATAATTAAGAGAAATGACACTAGCTCAGGTGTGTGGGGATCCCAGTAACTCTGAGGTTGCAACCTCTCCATGATCTCTGTAGGGGCTTCTTCAAGAGCTAGAATCGCGGACTTTCAGTCCACAATCTGCAGACCACAGTCTGTAGACCAGCTCCAGGCAAGGCGTGGGGATCCCTCAGGTCCTGGTAATTTTCAACATCGAGTGGACATTTATTGAACACTTCTTCTATAGCAGTCCCAGTGCTGGATGAAGTAATGCAGTATCTGAGACAGGAAGGGCTCTAACCATCTGTGGATATAAGAAAATTTATTAAAGAGGTAGGGTCTTAGGTTTCACATTCATGTTCTAATTCAGCAGGGCCAGAGGTGGAGACCTGGAATTTCAATTTTCTGAAGGCATCTTGGGAGAGACTGGTAGAGCTAATCTGTTAGCCTTTGAGAACCGCTGCTGAGAGGAATGGTGTTGGGGGGGAATAGTCCTTTGAGGAGGCAACGAGGAGGGGAGACCCCCAAACCTGATTCTGTCCTCTTTCCTCCCAGTTCCCTTGCCCCACCCTCAGACCCTGCAGAAGCTGAAGGTTCCTATCATCGACTCGGAAGTCTGCAGCCATCTGTACTGGCGGGGAGCAGGACAGGGACCCATCACTGAGGACATGCTGTGTGCCGGCTACTTGGAGGGGGAGCGGGATGCTTGTCTGGTGAGCTCCCTCGAGCCCCCCACCCCTGGCCAGGAGGGCCTCGGGAAGGAGCCAGCGTCAGTCCTGTCCCCACTGAGCCCCACAACCTCTCCCTGGCCTCCTCCCCAGAACTGGCTGTGCCTGACAGTCCCGGGTCCCCATAGAACCAGCCTCAGCCTGGCTCAGCCACTCACTTATTTGTTCAGACATTAAACTGGGCATCCCAGCTGCACCACCTCGCCCTCCGCGAGCTTTCATTTCCTTCAGGGGGCTTCCCACGCCTCAGTGCCCAGAGCCAGCTGTAGCTCAGGGGCTGTCTGGAAGACGGTCAGATGGTGCAGCGGCAGCACCCGCGCCTGGACGTCTTAAGGCCTGGCTGCAGCTCCTACTCTGCCGCCGGGGACTTCTCACCTGGGTGGAGCTCAGGTCCTGTCTCCTCCAGGAAGGAGAAACGGGCTCCCGGGAAGGGGCTCATCTGCCCCCTGACAGGGCACGGGCCCTGGATTCTGCCACCCCCTGTGCCACGGGGGTTCCTAACCTCGCCTCCTCTCTGCAGGGCGACTCCGGGGGCCCCCTCATGTGCCAGGTGGACGGCGCCTGGCTGCTGGCCGGCATCATCAGCTGGGGCGAGGGCTGTGCCGAGCGCAACAGGCCCGGGGTCTACATCAGCCTCTCTGCGCACCGCTCCTGGGTGGAGAAGATCGTGCAAGGGGTGCAGCTCCGCGGGCGCGCTCAGGGGGGTGGGGCCCTCAGGGCACCGAGCCAGGGCTCTGGGGCCGCCGCGCGCTCCTAGGGCGCAGCGGGACGCGGGGCTCGGATCTGAAAGGCGGCCAGATCCAGATCTGGATCTGGATCTGCGGCGGCCTCGGGCGGTTTCCCCCGCCGTAAATAGGCTCATCTACCTCTGGGGGCCCGGACGGCTGCTGCGGAAAGGAAACCCCCTCCCCGACCCGCCCGACGGCCTCAGGCCCCGCCTCCAAGGCATCAGGCCCCGCCCAACGGCCTCATGTCCCCGCCCCCACGACTTCCGGCCCCGCCCCCGGGCCCCACCGCTTTTGTGTATATAAATGTTAATGATTTTTATAGGTATTTGTAACCCTGCCCACATATCTTATTTATTCCTCCAATTTCAATAAATTATTTATTCTCCAGTGTCTGTTTTTTCCCATGCCTGGGGACACTGGAAAGCAAGGGTCCAGAGGGGGTTAAGGTTGGGGGTTGGATGTTGGCCTAGCCAGAGACTGCGTGGTCCTGTCCACCTGGGGCTGACGCCGACCCCTGCTTCCACCTAGGGTTCAGCCTTCTGACCCCTGACCTTTGCAGCCCTGGGCCACCCTCCCTTTTATCCCTCTCCCACCAGGGCAGGGCAGCCGATGGAGAAGGGGCAGAGTCTAGAGGCCTGGAAGACCCAGCTCTGGTGCTTCAGGAAGGGGAGGAGAGGGGTTGGGACTCCGAAACTGTGCGTTGGATTCCAAAACAGGGCTGGTGAGGAGAAACCCAGCCCCATGAGAGTGAGGTGCTACCTCTCTACCCCAGGCCAAGCCCCCCCTTCTGCTCTCTCCACCACAGGCCTCAGGGGCCTCAGGATGGCAGAGCTGCGGGTGGTGGTGGAGGGAGGCGCCCAGGTGAGCCCCATCAGAGCCCCGTCTCCGTGGGCTGGCTGTTGGGTCCTCATCCCCAGGAGCCGATTTGTCGAGCGACTCACTGCCAAAGCTCTAAACTCCCCAGTTTGGAAGAAGCAGCGGACAGTGGCAGGGCAGGCCTCTGGCTCTGCGGGCATCAGGGGTTGAGTCACCCCACCTGTCCCCATGGGGGGTGGTAGTTTGATCCCAAGCCGAGAGGAGGGGTCTGTCTGGCTTCCTGCCTGCTTAGGGATGCAGGCTAATACTCTGTTTCCCCACATCCACTCATCTGCAGCCGGCTCTGGCCTCCTGGACCCAGGGCCCTCATCCCAGCCTGCCTGGATGCAGGCCTTCCCCAGCATCCCTGTAACAAATAGGTATGTGGTTAGAGGGCTGTGCCGCTGGCTTTGGTGAGAATATGACCCTCTTAGTAGCCGATACAGAAGAGATTCACCCAAAGCCAGGTCAAGAAAACAACCAGGTCCAATTGTGCTGAAGAAGAGACACTATGACTCTGCCATGAAATATCTCCAACCAGAAATGATCAAGGGCATGGCCAAGTTTGGAGAAGGCAATACAGGTTTAGTTTTTTGGGTTTTTTTTTTGTTTTTTTTTTTTTGGTGTCCTTTGTTGTAAGTGCAGTTCTAAAATATTTGTTCATACTGTTTTGATTGCCTTATTTATTTATTTACTTTTTTCAAGGTAGGGCTTGCTTTGTTGCCCAGGCTGGAGTGCAGTGGTGTGACCCTGGCTCACTGCAGCCTCTACCTCCCAGTCTCAAGTGATCCTCCCACCTCAGCCTCCCGAGTAGCTGGACTGCAGACGTGTGCCACCATGCCTGGCTAATTTTTAAATTTTTTACAGAGACGGGGTTTCACCATGTTGCCCAAGCTGGTCTCCAACTCCTGGCCTCAAGCAATCCACCTGCCTTGGCCTCCCAAAGTGCTGAGCTTACAGGTGTGAGTCACTGGCCCAGCCTGATTACTTTTATATGATTATCAGATCACAGTAAATGCTATGGGGTTGTTTTTTTTGTTTTTGTTTTTGTTTTGTTTTTTTTTGAGATGGAGTCTCGCTCTGTCACCCAGGCTGGAGTGCAGTGGCGCGATCTCGGCTCACTGCAACCTCCATCTCCTGGGTTCAAGCGATTCTCCTGCTTCAGCCTCCCGAGTAGCTGGGACTACAGGTGCCCGCCACCACTCCCGGCTAATTTCTTTTTGTATTTTTAGTAGAGATGGGCTTTCAGTGTGTTAGACAGGATGGTCTCAATCTCCTGACCTCGTGATCCACCCGCCTCAGCCTCTCAAAGTGCTGGGATTACAGGCGTGAGCCACCGCACCTGGCCTAGGGTTGTTTTTATTAAAACAACCAACCAACCAACCAGAACTGCCCTGCTGTTTGTCAGAGTGACCAGCCCAGGGAGTGCTGGGGTGACTCAGGTGTGCCAGGTAGCAGAGCCAACCGCCACGGCCTCTCCCTTTGTGACCTGGTCCCCTCTTGATGTCACCCTATGCTCTGGCTTCTCTTATCTCCTCTGTGGGCTTTAGCCCCTCCCCTCTCCAGCCCTCCTTTGCTGGCCTCTCTCCCTCACTCGGTTTCCCCCTCTGCCCCTGCTCCTCGACTGCCCCCTTCTGTCTCTGAGTGCCCCCTCCCTCATTTCTCTACCTCCCTCCCCTGCTCCTGTCCTGGAGTCTCTCCCTTCAGTGTCTCCTTCTGCCCTGTCAGCTCTGCCCCACTGCTCTGTGCCGCCAGGCCAGCCCTCTCCTGCCCCTCGTCTTCCTCTTTTTCCTCTCCTCTCCCTGCTCCTGTCCTGTTTCTCCTCCTTGTCAACTCTCATTCTCCGACCCTCAGTTTTGTGGGTGCCTGTCCCTTTACCCCATCCCTCCACAGGCCCTGGTGCGTGTGCATCTACTCCCTCTAATAGGGTCCTGACAGAAGCCCCTGAGAATGTAGCGCCTAGAGGGGGGCGGAGAAACCACCCTGTAAGTGGCAGGATTCACCAGGGAGGGTGGGGATTTCTCTGAGTTGGGAGGTCGCCTCCAGGCAGCCTTGAGCTTAAGGGAGCCTCTCGTGCCTTCCCTAGTGGCTCCACAGGATCCTAGGGCCCTGAGGGACAGGCTAGGGGTGGAGCGGGAAGTCAGCCCTGCCTCTGCAGGGCAACAGGACTTCCAACGATGCCCTCCCCAAACTGGGGGGGGTTCCAGGAGGTGGGTACAGAGTCTCCCCAGCCTCTGTGGGGCTCAGGCAGCACGTGCATCTCCAACATCTCGGCGACCCTTCCCTCGGGGGTCCTGCTGGCTCATAGCGTGTGCACCCTACTCAGAGTCGGGCCAGCCCATGTCCCCAAACTTTGCTGAACATGCTGAGACTATGGCTGACAGAACAGCCCTCTTCTCCCTGGTTGGAGCCTGGACCAGGAACAAGTCCCACATGTGAACCATGTTGGGTGGGGGGACCTCGCTACCTCTGCCCCACCAGCATCACCTGTCTCTAGGGGCTGCAGAGACCCGTAGGCCTGGCTGTCTCCTCGAGGGAATCCCACATGTTCCAGTTGTACTGGTCCCACATGGCCGGCTACACGCCCATCCTAGACTCCTGGGCAGACGGCTCTGCCTCCTTTTTCACCTCTCCCATGGAACAGCCCTTTGCAGAGCTCTCTCTGTCTCCCTAACAGCACTGGTGAGGACCATCTGACCTCCGCGACAAATGTCATTACATCAGGAACTGCCTTAGATGCAGGCTGTGAGGTCTGCCTACTCCTTCCTCAAATCGTGAGCCCTTGAGGGGACTTCCTTCTATGCCCGGGACCTCCTAACTCTTCTCCACTTTGCATCCGAAGCAAGCATTTAAAAGCACATACTTAAATACATGACTTCCCTCCGTGGCAGGCTCCTTTGGTTGCTGAGCCAGCCCCTATTTCAACTCTTCTCTTTGCTTCCTCCACCTGGAAGAGCTAAATGCTCATTGTCTCCTGCATGGTCAAGTGTGCCTATGGGACTAAGTGTTGACCCATGAGATGGGTGGTTTCTTAGGAAGACTGTTTTTCCCTGATTAAAGGGACATATTCAGCTGTCGTCATCCTTTCTCTCCTTCCTCCTTCTTCTAGTCCTGAATGCACACGCAATGCCCAGACTTCAGCAGCCATTTACGACACGCTAATGACAGTGAACCACGATTCAACAGCTATGGGTGTGATGGCGAGGTCAAGACGCTGCCCTAGCACTACACAGCCTGCCTCCTTCCAGGCTTCTTGTTGTTTTTTGTTTGTTTGTTTGTTTTTGAGATGGAGTTTCATTCTTGTTGCCCAGGCTGGAGTGCAATGGTGTGATCTCAGCTCACTACAACATCCACCTCCTGGGTTCAAGCGATTCTCCTGCCTCAGCCTCCCAAGTAGCTGGGATTACAGGCACATGCCACCATGTCCGGCTAATTTTTGTATTTTTAGTAGAGACGGGGTTTCATCATATTGGTCAGGCTGGTCTTAAACTCCTGATCTCAGGTGATCCACCTGCCTCGCCCTCCCAAAGTGCTGGGATTGCAGGCGTGAGCCACCACGCCGGCCTTTGTTTTGTTTTTTGAGGTGGAGTTTTGCTCTTGTTGCCCAGGCTGGAGTGCAATGGTGAGATCTCGGCTCACTGCAACCTCTGCCTCCTGGGTTCAAGCAATTCTCCTGCCTCAGCCTCCTGAGTAGCTGGGATTACAGGCATGTGCCACCATGCCCATCAAAAATAATTTTTTTGTGTGTATTTTTAGTAGAGATGGGGTTTCCCCATGTTGACCAGGCTGGTCTTGAACTCCTGACCTCAGGTGATCCACCCACCTCAGCCTCCCAAAGTGCTAGGAGTATAGGCGTGAGCCACTGCACCCAGTCCCAGGCTTCTTGTTTGCTTTAAACCGTGATTGGTTGGATTTTCTTTTACTTGCAGCTAAATGCATTCCTAACTGGTACATCTACTCCAAACCTTCTATTTTATAATAGTTTTAGACTTGCAGAAAACTTTTTATTTTTTTACAGAAAACTCTTTGTTTTCATGGACACAGGATGTCAGATTTCATCAGCACAATTGAATCCCATAGAAATTACCCAAATTATGAAGGCCTTGAGCTCCCAACTAGCCACAAGAATTTTGGACCCTCAAAGGGTCCCCCAGTTAGTTTCAGGTTTCCCCACCTTTTTATTGTTGTTGTTAGAGACAGGGTCTTCGTCTGTGGCCCAGGCTGGAGTCCAGTGGTGTGATCATGGCTCACTGCAGCCTGGCAAAATAGTAGGCGTTAGTAAATGTTTCATGAGTTAATGGTAATAAGTATCATCTATTTCATCAGTTTGGTGGACAGTGTGGATATCTCTCTTTTTTTTTTTTCTTTTCTTGAGGCAGAGTCTCACTCTGTTACCCAGGCTGGAGTGCAGTGGTGGCATCTCAGCCTACTGCAACCTCTGCCTCCCAGGTTCAAGCGATTCTCCTGCCTCAGCCTCCCAAGTAGTTGGGATTACAAGCACCTGCCACCACACCTGGCTAATTTTTATATTTTTAACAGAGATGGGGTTTTGCCATGTTGGCCAGGGTGGTCTCAAACTCGTGACCTCAAGTGACCCGCCCACCTCGGCCTCCCAAAGTGCTGGGATTACAGGCATAAGCCATGGTGCCCGGCCCTCTTGTTTTTCTAACTAATTACTCAAGCACCACATTCTCTTTTTAGCAGAGATCCTTTCTTTCTTGAGACCATCCCACTAAATCCATGGAGTATCCAAGAATTCTACAGGTTTACGTGGGTCAAAGGGTCCAGTCCTATGAAAACTGGAAAATTCCATTATTCCTTCAATTCAGTTATGTTGCTTTGCTCAACATCAAGTGGTGGTGCGGATAGATACCGGTCTCCCTAGTCCTACAGACCCTCCCCTTGTTCGGCGGGGAAGCCTTTGCTCAACTGGCCCCCTGCCCTGATGACTTACATATGGGATCTGAGGTCAAAGGTCTTCAAGGTCATAGTCACAGGCCCAGCCATCATTTCACAGAGCACAGTGCCTGTGTGATCAGGGCTTCTGGCCTCAGCCACAAGCTGCACATGAACAGATGCTTGGGCTGAGCCTGCGTATGTGAGCCCACAGCTTGTACCACTTGCTGCATGATAGCCAATAAGTTGAGAAACAAGGTGTTGGGGTAAGGAAGGCAAGTTTCTTTCAGAAACTCAGCAAACCGAGAAGATGGTGACTAATGTCCCAAAGAACCACCTTAAGTTAATAGAATTTCAGGCTCCTTTTATGTTAGGGGAAGGAGGAGGGTTGAAATAAGAGGTGACTCACAATCACAGACATCTGGGCAGCGGTATGAGGTGGGCCTTGTGAAACTTCTTTGTCCTTGGTCAGGTCACAAGGCTCCTATAAATCTTTAGCATAACATTCTTACTTGTGTGTACACACTCCTTATTTCCTCAGGGATAAGTTTGGAGAAGGGATTATCATGCTTGCTTTAAACTATAAACTAAATTCCTCCCACAGTTAGTTCAGCCTACACACAGAGATAAGCAAAAGCAGTTAACCTAAAAAGATATCACCTGGTGGGAGGGTGGTTAGGGGTGTGAACCCAAAAGTATCTGAGACAGATTTCAATCAATTTAGAAAGTTTATTGTGCCATGGTTAAGGGTTTACCTGTGATGCAACCTCAGGAGGTCCTGATGACATGTACTCAGGGTGGTTGGGGTACAGCCTGCTTTTATACATTTTAGGGAGACATAATACATCTCCTAATACCTGAGCCCTTGAAGGGACTTTCTCCTATGCCTGGGACCTCCTAACTCTTGAGACATGTAAGATTGACACTGGCTCAACCTGGAAGGGTAGGACAACTGGAAGGGAGGGGGGTCTTCCATGTCATAGGTAGATTTAAACATTTTCTGATTGGCAATTGGTTGAAAGAGTTATTACCAATAGAAAGAAATGTCTGGGGCTGGGCATGTTGGCTCACGCCTGTAATCCCATCACTTTGAGGGGCCGAGGCAGGTGGATCACCTGAGGTCAGTTCAAGACCAGCCTGGGCAACATGGTGAAACCCCATCTCTACTAAAAATACAAAAGTTAGCTGGGCATGGTGGCAGGTGCCTGTGGTCCCAGCTACTCGGGAGGCTGAGGCAGGAGAATTGCTTGAACCCAGGAGGTGGAGGTTGCAGTGAGCCGAGGGTGTGCCACTGCACTCCAGCCTGGGTGACAGAGTGAAACTCCATCTCAAAAAACAAAACAAAGCAAACAAACAAACAAACAAAAGAAAACAAAATGAAAAAGGAATTTCTGGGTTATGATAATGGGTGTGGAGACCAAGGTTTTATCATGCAGATGATGCCTCCAGGTAGCAGGTTTCAGAGAGAATAGACTATAAATGTTTCTTATCAGACTTAAGGTTTGTATTGATGTTAATGCTGGTCCACTTTTATGAATTGCAAAAGGAAGGAGGGTATAATGAGGCATGTCCAGCCCCTCTTCCCATCATGGCCTGAGCTAGTTTTTCAGGTTAACTTTGGAATGCCCTTGGCCCAAAGGAGGGGTCCATTCAGATGGTTGGAGGGCCTTAGTATTTTATTTTTGATTTACAGGAGCAAAATGGAGCTGGGCACACTAGGCCTCCTTTTCACACCACTCAAGGGAGAATTGTCTTTGCAGTCCTTGGGGTTACTTTTTGCTAATGGGCCCAGTTGGGACTATTCCACTTAATAAGAGAAATTCTAATAATATCAAACCTCACTAAACTCTACTTTTGTGACTGGTTTCCTAACTGTAGCTTATTCAGCTACTTAATGCTTTATTTACTATTCGGTTTTACTCCCATTTCTTGTTTTTCTCCTGTTGGTGGATTTTGCATTCCATTCTTTCAGCTGCTTTACATTTCCCACATACGAATTACATCTTTCAAATTCCTGTTCCGCAATGATACGGGCTATAGGAAGTGCTGCAGAGATGTATCTGTGTTGGTATTGTTTGTCGCCTAGCTTGTGTATCATGACACGTAGCCAAGAGACACTTGGTTTAATCTGCATACCAGGAAGTTGTGGCTATTTCACTGAGGACCCCATACAGGCTTAATGACAGTTCCTTTTAGACCTGCTCATTGCCCTATGCAAACTTACTCATGCCATCTCTCAGATTTGCATATCAAGGGGTCTTGAGAAGGTCATTTCAGGCTTAAACCGTCCACCAACAAAATATTCCATCACATCTCCCCACAACAATGGTGCTCACTAGCCTAATGTTAGCAGAAGTAAAAGGGACTGCTCACGAGATTCCAATTAATAAACACCCCTGTCCAGGGACACACATCTCTGCTTGTAAACCTACAGGAAGCTGGCATTATCATAAAGTTGACCTTACTTACCTCACTTCCAGTACAAAATGAACACCTACCAGTTTCAGGTGCATTAATTTATATTTCACCATAACTGGGCGACACAGAGACTGCCTATTTTCACTCTGGATTTTTGAGACCAATTAAATATTTTTTTCTGTATATATCTCTAAAAGATAGGGCCATGAAAAAGACCTACAATATCATTATCAAACTAAACAAAAGTAACAACAATTCATTAACAATATCAAATATAATTAATATTCATATTTCCTATTCCCAGCTCATTTTATGTTTTCCAATGTGTGCGTTTGAATCAGAATATAAATTGTTAAAGGATGATGTGCTAAAAAGATAAAATCATGACTCATACAAATATAAAATTAATACATGTCAATTTTTTACTTTTAGAGAGACAGGGTCTGCTATATTTACCAGGGTGGTTTTGAACTCCTGGCCTCAAAATATCATCCCACCTTCTCAGCCTCCCAAAGTTCTGGGATTACAGACATAAGCCACTGCACCCAGCCTGTGTTTTTATTTAACTCAATTAATGACAGAATCAGTGAGATGTTACAACTGGTTCAAAGGAGAATTCAGAGTAGGAACATATTTAACACATCAGCAATGTTGAAATTAATTTGCTTAAATAGATGTACAAGAACAATCTGCATTCCTATCAGTTATCTACAATTTACAGAGTCTTAAAATAGCTCAAAGGGAGGGACCCCCACAGAATCAGAAAACCTGGAAGAGTATGAGAGACAACCCCATTGAATTTACTCAGTAATTTTTGTGGGTCCACTTTAAAGTCTTTCACAATTTTCCCTTACAAAATAAACTTTATTCATTGCAGTTGATTGCTATACGTCTTAAGTTTCTTTTATTCTCGAGGTGCCCCCTCCATCTCTTTTTTTTCTTTGTCACTGTCCAATAACTGATCATTTGTCCTTTAATCTCACCATCTGGATTTGCTGGTTGTGCCCCCATGCTGTCTCTAACATATTCCTCTGTTTCTGTGTTTCCCTCTGGACTCCCAGTCCAGATTTGTGGACTCTTCAGGCTCTGCCTGTTCTGGGCTCTGTCCCTATGTCCCACACCCCAGATCTGCAGTCTTGGGCAAATTCAGGCACTCCTTGCCTCACCTGGGCGGCTGACTGCAGCAGACTGCGTCTCCATTCCCCTCCCAAGTCTGTGGATCCCAGGCTCTACCATGTTAAAGTCGGAGGGCTGACACTCCGGCCTTGGTGGTTGCGAGGAAGCTACTGGTCCACCCCTCATACCATGGGACCACTACCAGCGAGGATGTTGCCCTGATGCAGCTGAACTCCGCCTTGCAGGCCTCTGATTTTTCCAGAAAAGTCTATCAGGGGGTACACACCAGTTGACTGTCTCGTAGTGATGAGCTAGCTGTTGAGGATTATTCCCTAGACCAATTAGTCCATTAGATTGCAACATGGTGATATTCCTGTTCCATTTATTAGCAGAAATTCCTCCATAAAGAGAAACTTTTCATCATCTATTTATTTTTGTTGCCTCTTTCATTCTATTTTTAAAAATGTTTATGTTTTTGGCATCTATTTAATTATCCTCAAAATAATGAACTATTTCCTTAGCATACTCCAAAAATGATAAAGGTTTTTTTTGTAATATGAACTCATGGATTTCTTCTTTTCTTTTTTTTTTTTTGAGATGGAGTCTCGTTCTGTCGCCCAGGCTGGAGTGTAGTGACGCGATCTCGGCTCACTGCAGCCTCTGCTTCTGGGTTAACGCGATTCTCCTGCCTCAGCCTCCTGAGTAGCTGGGATCATAGGTGCCACCACCACGCCCAGCTAATTTTTGTATTTTTAGTATAGATGGGGTTTTGCCATGTTGGCCAGGCTGGTGTCGAACTCCTGACCTCAGGTGATCTGCCCGCATCGGCCTCTCACAGTGCTGGGATCACAGGCGTGAGCCACCGCACCCGGCCTTATCTCACGTATTTAAATCACTCCAAGTTATTGCCCACAGTGATGCTCCAAGTGTCCCATCGTCAGCCAGTGAGAACGTCTTTTGGTTGCCTCCTGAGAGGGACCACTCAGTTTCCAGACCCTCCAGGGCCTGAGGCCAGGCTGAGATGATGCTCACAGGACTCGCATACTGACCGGAACCCCGCCCGATCGCACAGGAAGTCCGCCGGAAACTCTCTTGGAGCCCACCGGAAGTTTAGCGAACCACCCTCAACCTCCGGAAGAGCGCGGGAAGTTTGCCGGAAACGGACAGAAAGGAGTCCCTGCGACCGCGTAGCCTCCTGCAGCGCCCCCTGTTGGCAGAGTCGTAGCGAGGCCGAGATGAGGTCCGTGACGTGGCTGCGTGAGCATCCCGGCTGCCTGTGGATGAGTGGGCGTGGGGCTGAGAGGCGACAACAGTGGGGAGCTTCCTCAGCGATCCTGGGCTTCTCGGGTCAGGCCAACTTCAGTCCGGGCTGGAGGCCGTGCACAACACCAAGCGCATGGTGGGGTCCTCAGCTGCCTCGGGACTGGCTCCGCCTCTGCCCCTGGCCCTGGGATGGGGGCCAAAGGTTTTGGGCAGTGGCAGCAGCAGGAGGAAGTAGCACCTGGAAAACGTGTCTCCTGAGTCGACCCTTCCTGTCTGGGGGGGCCGAACCCTGGCTGTCTTTGTTCCCATAGCAACGAATAGGGCTCCCCTATGTTCCAGCCCCTTAGATACGGTGTGCCCCAGGAGGGCTCTGCAGGAGCTACAGGTCCTTCTGGTGGGAAGGGAGGCGGGAGGTGGGCTGGGGCAGCCCGGCTGGCCTGTGTGGAGACATCACACTTCCTGGTTGGGGACAGGGTGAAGAGGGTTGGTCCCCACCTCTGCCTTGAGCAGAGCTTCTAGTGGGTGAAGCAGTGGGGATCTCCTGCCTGCCGGAAGGATGGGTGGGGCTTCCACATCGCAGCCCAGTAGGGTGGACTGACCGGTCTTCTGACCTCTGGCTCCTTGGAGGGACTGGCCTGAGGTGGGCCCTGGCATCCCCAGCCTCCTCTAAACCACCTCCCTGGAACATGCGGGACAGGAGCCCAAGCGGCATCTGAGGAGGGCGGGTTCTGCCAGGCACAGAGGGCTCCAGCGTGATTGCCACTGGTTAATGACCTGCCACCCCCGCCCCCCCAACCTCTGGTGCCGTCCAAGGACTCTGACCCCAGTGCAGTGTCTGTAGGGAAGAGGAGCCATGGGGCTTCGGGCAGGCCCCATCCTGCTTCTGCTGCTGTGGCTGCTGCCAGGTAAGGGATGCGCCTCTGTCTTCTCCTCCCTCCCATCCCCTGCCAGCCTGTGTGCCCCCCTTTGCTCTCTTGCTTTCCAGGGGCCCATTGGGATGTGCTGCCTTCAGGTACCGTAGACATCTCATCCCTGCACTCAAACAGCCCCTACTCCTGGCCAGGGAGGACTGGCCCCAGGGGACATGCAGAGGCCCTTGGCCCTGGGAGCCTCATCCCTGGACATCAAGGGCAGAGGAATGTCAGAAGGGATGTCAGAAGGGCAGAGGGATGTTAGGGTAAAGAGTCAGACCGGGAGGGATGGGCTTTCTGAGAGGGAATAAAGCTGAGGTCTCCCACCCGCCCATCCCTCTGCAGAATGCGGCCACTCCAAGGAGGCCGGGAGGATTGTGGGAGGCCAAGACACCCAGGAAGGACGCTGGCCGTGGCAGGTTGGCCTGTGGTTGACCTCAGTGGGGCATGTATGTGGGGGCTTCCTCATCCACCCACGCTGGGTGCTCACAGCCGCCCACTGCTTCCTGAGGTGAGTGGCGCTGGGTGGGGGTGCTCCTCACCCCTCCCCTTGGCGGCTGCCTGCAGTGGGCCGTGTTTCCATTCCCCTCCCAGGTCTGAGGATCCCGGGCTCTACCATGTTAAAGTCGGAGGGCTGACACCCTCACTTTCAGAGCCCCACTCGGCCTTGGTGGCTGTGAGGAGGCTCCTGGTCCACTCCTCATACCATGGGACCACCACCAGCGGGGACATTGCCCTGATGGAGCTGGACTCCCCCTTGCAGGCCTCCCAGTTCAGCCCCATCTGCCTCCCAGGACCCCAGACCCCCCTCGCCATTGGGACCGTGTGCTGGGTAAACGGGCTGGGGGTCCACTCAGGAGAGGGGGAAGGGGAATATGCACTCACCAGCCCCTACTCCTAGTCAGGGAGGACAAGCCCAGGGACCACGCAGAGCCAGCCTGAGTGGTCTCCACAGACGTTGGTCTGCGTGTTTATCTCCTCTCCCCTCCCACCCCACCCTGAAGCTGGGAACACTTGGGGCCAGGACCCATGCTGTCCAGACTGTGGGACTCCCCTTGGCCAAGGTGACCACCATATTGGATTTTGGGGATCTTGAGCCAGTGTCCAGGATTGTGCCCGTGTTGGGATGAATAAGCCAAGGCTAAGAGGTCATGAGATTAGCCAGGGTCATGGGAGAGGATCTGGGCTTGAGCCCTGCTCCCTGACCCCACTGCCTCCTGGTTTGGGAGTTGAGAAGAGCAGGGTGGGTGGGCAGAGAAGAGGTAGGAGGTGCAGGCTGCCACCATCACAGGTGAGAGGGCAGAGGCTCACCTGATGGGGACGAGGCTTGAGGTGGGCTCAGGCTGGCCCCCACATCACATCCAGCCCTGGCGAGTGTCCTTCAGGAGGTGGCTGTGCCCCTCCTGGACTCGAACATGTGTGAGCTGATGTACCACCTAGGAGAGCCCAGCCTGGCTGGCCAGCGCCTCATCCAGGACGACATGCTCTGTGCTGGCTCTGTCCAGGGCAAGAAAGACTCCTGCCAGGTGACTGCAGCTCCTGGTCACCCCATCCAGTTGTGTGGGCCCTTTAGGCTCACCCTGTCCTGGACTTTCTCCCCATGTCCCACACCTCAGGGTCTCCAGAGGGACCAGAGTCCTTGCCTAGCTCCTTGGCCTCAGCAGCAGATTCTCGAAGGCACTTGGGGCCCAGGTGTCTCCCTCAATGCAGACCTCATGGGGCCCTCCCTCTCTCTCCCCCAGGGTGACTCCGGGGGGCCGCTGGTCTGCCCCATCAATGATACGTGGATCCAGGCCGGCATTGTGAGCTGGGGATTCGGCTGTGCCCGGCCTTTCCGGCCTGGTGTCTACACCCAGGTGCTAAGCTACACAGACTGGATTCAGAGAACCCTGGCTGAATCTCACTCAGGCATGTCTGGGGCCCGCCCAGGTGCCCCAGGATCCCACTCAGGCACCTCCAGATCCCACCCAGTGCTGCTGCTTGAGCTGTTGACCGTATGCTTGCTTGGGTCCCTGTGAACCATGAGCCATGGAGTCCGGGATCCCCTTTCTGGTAGGATTGATGGAATCTAATAATAAAAACTGTAGGTTTTTTATGTGTATTTTATGTCTTTGCTTTTCTAGTAATTCATTTTTATTGTTCTTTACAAAAACATCTGGCTGTGGTAGGTTGGGAGAGCATGGTGCCTGCCCCGGACATTGTCTGCGGGACACCTTCATCGTTAGGGTCACAGCGTCCAGGCTTGCTCAGGACGGTCTTGGGCGATGTCTGTCCCGTGTAGTTAGATAGGATCCCTGTCCCTCTCAAAAAGTGTCCCAAAAGTGGGAGTAAGAGTTATATAGTCACTGTGACTCAGCCAGTGCAAGAGCTGGAGCTCCTTGAAGCCCACAGATTTTCAGTCTCAGGCATCCTTGTGTGGTTGCCATGGCCACCAGGTGTCCAATAATAGGCCTTGTTCTCCCAGCTCCGGCCCACGGAGTGTCCATACCTTCCCCCACCACCCTGCCCGCTGCTGACTGCAGCCAGTGGGGGCCCTGGGGCCTGTCCCAGGCATGAGCAAGGTCCTTGGGCGCTGTCCCAGGCATGAACAGGGGCTTTGAGGCCGTCGCCAGCGTGGTGGGCAGCGCCCTCTGCCTGTGTCTTAGACGCATGGCCAGAGCAGTGCCTGGTAGCGCCAGCTCCACACTTGCAGGGAGGGATCCATTTGGAAGTTCGCATCTGGTGTCAGTTTCCCTGTGAGACACGGTGGTCGGGCTTTCACTCCAGTTTGGCGCCAGGTCTGGGGGAAGGACCGTCTGCTTGGGTGGGGCGCAGTCGGGCCAGCCTTTGTCCCAGCGCCACTCGCCTGCCCTGGAGGTGGCTGTCAGGAGCACCCCAAGGAGGAGAGGGGCTTTGAGGTCGCAGGTGAGTGGGCAGTGGAGCCGTCACCCTGACGCCTCAGCCCTCCCCGGGGGCACCCTCAGCTGGGTGGCCTCTTAGAAAATTTAGGTTGTTTTGCTGCCCTAGAAGACTGGATGCTCTAGAATCATCTCTCCTTTTGCTGTGGGCCCACCTTCATAGGGTCCTGTTGTCCCGTGACGGCCTCGCCTCCTTCCAACTCCTCTGCCTTCATCCCAGGGTGGACGGTGTCCTGGAGGGACTCATCGGATCCGCCAGGAGCTCAGCGTCCTGGGTAGAGGTTTCTGGCCTCTCAGCTTCTCTGTTTTGTCTCACAACTTTCTCTTGCTAATCACTTTCATGCATCAGTTTGCGAATGGATTCTCCAGCTCTTCACTCATAAATAACTCCTTCCAGAAATCTAGTGAGGAGGGAAAGTGAAGGATTAAAACAAAATCCTCACTTCTGGATTTCTGCTTTAATGTTAGAGTTGGCAGCCCTCCGTCACATAGGCCTGAAGCACCAAGGATGTCTCAGAAGCACTCAGCCTCCCTCCTTGCATATCAGCCCCTTCAGTTTCTCTCTCCTTTTTTCTTTTGTGACAGGGTCTTGCTCTATTGCCCAGGCTGGAGTGCAGTGGCTCAATCTCAGCTCATTGCAGCCTCGACCTCCTGGGCTTAAGCGATCCTCCCACCTCAGCCTACCTGGGAGTACATGTGCACACCACCATGCTCGGCTAATTTTTGTATTTTTAGTAGAGACAGGGTTTCACCATGTTGCCCAGGCTGGTCTTGAACTTCTGACCTCAAGTGATCCGCCTGCCCCAGCCTCCCAAAGTGCTGGGATGACAGGCGTGAGCCACCGTGCCCAAGGACCCCCCCCAGTCTCTTCCCCAGATGACCTTGACCAGGGCTGCTGTGCCATCAGCCCTGTGCCAGGATCCACTCCCATCCAGGAGGCCCCTGTCCAGGCTGTGTGCCTGTCTGTGTGTGGATGTGTCTGTGTGTGGGTGTGTATTTATGTGTGTTTGTGTGTGCCTGTGTGTGGATGGGTGTGGGTGTACTTTTATGTGCATGTGTGTGTGTGTGTACATACGTGTTTGTGTATTTGTGTATGTGTCTGCATCTCTGTATGTGTCTCTGTGGGGTAGGTGTGTGTATGTGTATGTGTCTGTGTGTGTGGGTGTGTGTGTCTGTGGGTATTTGTGTGTCTGTGTATGGGTGTGTATTTGCATGTATGTATGTGTGTGTGTGTTTCTGTGGTGTGTGTTTGTGAGTGTGTCTCTGGGTGGGTGTGTATTTCTGTGTGTCTGTGTCTCTGTGTGGGTATTTGCATGGGGGGCTGGGTGTATATTTGCGTGCATGTGAATGGGTGTGTGGGTGTGTGTGTGTGTCTGGGTGTGTGGGGAGGTGGGTGTGTATTTGTGTGTGTATGTATGTATGGGTATGTGTGTGTGCGTGTCTCTGTGGATGGGTGTGTATTTGTGTGGGGGTGGGTGTGTATTTGCGTGTATGTGAATGGGTATTTGTGTGTGTGTCTCTGTGTGGATGGGTGTGTATTTGTGTGTGTGTGTCAGTGGGTGTGTATTTGTGTGTCTCTGTGTGGGTGGGTATTTTTGTGTGTGTGTAGGTATTTGTGTATGTGCTTGTCTGTGTATGTGTGTATGGGTGTGTATTTGTGTGTGTCTCTGGGTGGGTGTGTATTTGTGTGTATGTGTATATGGGTGTGTATTTGTGTGCGTGTGTGTCTGCATGTGTATTTTGTGTGTATGTTTGAATGGGTGTGTATTTGTGTGTGTGTGTGTCTGTGTGGTCCTCAGAACCCCCCACATTTCCTGGCAGTGGACAGCACGAACGCTCCTTGACCCCCACGGGCAGGGGAAGCCTGCTGAGCCTCTTTTCTCTCCGAGGCATCCGACTTCTGCCAACGGTGAGTTAGAAGGAAGGGGCCTCAGCCAACAGCAAAAGCTACAGAAGGATTTTCCGCGCCTGACCTGGACTGTGGTGCGCACACAGCCCTCTTTGTCTTCTCTTTCTCTGGCCCCTCACACAGGTGCTGTTTGTAGAGGACTTACAAGACTGGTGCTTCTGCTTGTGAAGCCCCTCCTGCCTGGGGCTTGTTGGAAAGACACAGAGGGTTCACCTGGTGCCTGGGCCGGGGGGTGGGTGCGGGTCCGAGGGGGCGGTAGGGGCAGACGTGAGTCCAGGTGACATTCAAGGTGCTCCACTTCCTCCAGCAGCTCCTCTTAGGTTCCAGCTGCCTGGCCCACTCTAAGTGCACGGCAACCAGCACCAGGTGTCTCTCAGTGGGACCCCCAGTTTGCTGGTTGGCCTGTCTGTGGGCCCAGTGGCCTGCAGGAGGCCTTGGGACTAGTGACACTGTTTAGAGACAGGTCGGGGCGGGAGCTGCACAGTTCAGTGTTGTGTAGGAGGAAACAATTCAAACGCCCCTGCAAGACTGAGCCGGTCTGGGGATGAGGAAGTGGCCACAATGGACGCAGGTGTTCCAGAAGGCTGACAGGCTGACTTCTGTCCAAAGGCCAGAGCCGCTCGGGATTGGGGAACGTTTGGCCAAGGGTGACAAGCAGGAGCAGAGGCAGGGACCCAGCGTAGGACGAGCGGTTCCTTCCTCACCCTGGAGCCCAGGGTGCAGGTCTGGCACGCACCTTGTCTCTGAACTTGTAGTGAGTCGATGCCTTGTCTCTGAACTTGCAGTGAGTCGATGAAAAGGAATTCTCAGGATTACAGCAGGCTCTGCCAGCGGCACTGTATGCATGTGGACCTCAGAATTCCAGGACAAGAAAATCACATGTTGTGGTGGCTGAAGTATTTGGGCACTTGGGACGCAGGGACTCTCAGGAAAGAACCTCCCCCCACAATGGTGGGACTGGGCCAACACCTGAGCAGGAAGTGGCAGGAGGACTGTGGGATTGCGGTTGGAATTCCATGACTCACTCGCTCAGCCTGGGCTTCCTTGTCTTTAAAAATGTGAGATTAACACCCACCGCAAGGGTGTTTGTGATGATTAAATGAGGCAGTCCTTGTGTAAGCACTCACCATTGCGCCTGGTCCAAAATTGGATCGTGATGAATGCTAGTGTCTTTTCTTTCCTTTCCTTTTCTTTTTTTTCTTTTCCTTTCTTTCTTTTTCTTTTTTCTTTTTCTGAGACAAGGTTTCACTCCTGTTTCTTAGGCTGGAGTGCAATGGCGCGACCTCAGCTCACTGCAGTCTCTACCTCCTGGGCTCAAGTGATTCTCCTGTTTTAACCTCCCAAGTAGCTGGGACTACAGGCCCACGCCACCACGCCTGGTTATGTATTTTTGTAGATTGTAGAGGCAGGGTCTCGCTGTGTTGCTTTGGCTGGTCTTGAACTCCTGGGCTCAAGTGATCATCCGTCTCGACCTCCCAAAGTGCTGGGATTACAGGTGTGAGCCACTGTGCCTGGTCCCGCTAGTGTGTTTTCTGTCCATCTATCCCCTCACCCACCCACCCACTTATCCATCCATCCACTCACCCATTTGTCCATCCATCCACCCGCCCACCCATCTACTGACTCATAAATTCATCCATCCATCCATGCATCTACCCACTCACCCACCCACCTACCCACCTACCCATTCACCCACCCATCCATCCAGCCATCCACCTATCCATCCATTATTCCACCCATTCACCCACCCACCTACCCATCTACCGACCTATCCATCCATTTACTGACTCACCCATCCATTCATCCACCCATCCATCCACCCACCCATCAACCCATCCATCCATCCATTCATCCACCCACCCACCCACCCACCCATCCATCCATCCATCCATCCATCCATCCATCCCCTCATCCCAGAAAAAAGAAGATCCAAATCACAGGAGACTTACTAGCACTCTAGTAATATTGGCACACATACTCAAAACACTTCAGCAGAAACTGGTTTCCACAAGCAGTGCTTGGGACTCAGTTCTTTTCTCTTTTCTTTTCTTTTCTTTCTTTCTCTCTTTAGACAGAGTCTTACTCTGTCACCCAGGCTGGAGTGCAGTAGTGCAATCTTGGCTCACTGCAACCTCCACGTCTCATGTTCAAGTGATTCTGCTGCCTCAGCCTCCTGAGTATCTGGGATTATAGGCGCACGCCACCATGCCCGGCTAATTTTTGTATTTTTAGTAGAGACTGGGTTTCACCATGTTGGCCAGGCTGGTCTGGAACTCCTGACCTCATGATCTGCCCGCCTCGGCCTCCCAAAGTACTGGGATTACAGGCGTGAGCCACTGTGCCCGGCCCAAAATGTTTTCTTAAATGTGTTCTGTGCCTGGGCTTGGATTATCAACACGTTGAATGGCAAGTCTGATCACCATAATTTTGAAGTGGTGACGGCTGTAAATTTCAAGGTGTCTGTGACAACAGTATTTGATGTGGTCATTTCATGGGTGTTGCATGTGAGGTCACATTCATACCCGAAGGAAACATGAAATTTTCAGTCAAGGGCAATAAAAAAAAAAGAGGTAATTTCCCCCCCCCCATCCCAGTTCATGGATTCTCTGAATTTTGATTTCTGATTTTTGTCCACAGACCCCAGGTTAAGAAGTGGCTCTCAACCAGCATTTAAAATTAAATAAAAATAAAAGTAGAGAAGAGAAAAAACGTCTGTGTGTATTTCATGCAGAAAGATGAAACTGGGTTGGGAAATCTTTGCCTAGGTCTGGTGTTCAGTGGCCAGACTTTGCAGCTTGGTCACCTCAAGGTGGACCTCCAACTCTACCTCTAACGGCTGCGTGGGACAAGTCACTTTGCTCTCAGTTCCTCTGTTTCCTCATTTTGCAAATGAGGATAATTGAAGTCCTGTCCTTCAATTGTTGTGGGTGGGGACTTTGGGTGGAGCCCCTGAAATAGGACCTGGCCCTTCCCGTGATCACTGACTGGCTGTTGCATTAGATGATCACTGGGCGTTTGGCTGTTGCATTAGATGATCGCTGGGTGTTTGGCTGTTGCATTAGATGATCGCTGGGTGTTTGGCTGTTGCATTAGATGATCGCTGGGTGTTTGGCTGTTGCATTAGATGATCGCTGGGTGTTTGGCTGTTGCATTAGATGATCGCTGGGTGTTTGGCTGTTGCATTAGATGATCGCTGGGTGTTTGGCTGTTGCCTTAGATAATCACTTGTCTGTTTGGCTGTTGCATTAGATGATCACTGGGTGTTTGGCTGTTGCATTAGATGATCACTGGGTGTTTGGCTGTTGCATTAGATGATCACTTGTCTGTTTGGCTGTTGCATTAGATGATCACTTGTCTGTTTGGCTGTTGCATTAGATGATCACTGGGTGTTTGGCTGTTGCATTAGATGATCACTTGTCTGTTTGGCTGTTGCATTAGATGATCACTTGTCTGTTTGGCTGTTGCATTAGATGATCACTGGGTGTTTGGCTGTTGCATTAGATGATCACTGGGTGTTTGGCTGTTGCATTAGATGATCGCTGGGTGTTTGGCTGTTGCATTAGATGATCGCTGGGTGTTTGGCTGTTGCATTAGATGATCACTGGGTGTTTGGCTGTTGCATTAGATGATCGCTGGGTGTTTGGCTGTTGCATTAGATGATCGTTGGGTGCTTGGCTGTTGCATTACATGTGTTGCTTCCTGTGTCTCAAGTAGGATCAATTTCTCTCTGTGGATCATGGTCCCAAAGGACTGAAAACCCCGTCCCTGGAGGCCCCTGGAGCTCTGATCTTGGCAAGTGCCCATGTGGGCTTGGAGGCTTGGGAAGGGGACATGAAGAATGGGCCAGGTCCAGGGCTTGTACTGATTTCCTGTTGCTACTGTGACAAATTACCCCAGCCATCTGCATCTCCTGTCTTTGCTCATGTTGAGCCCTCAACCTGTAATCCCCTCCTCCCTTTGTCTCCACTTGGCCAATTGTCCTTCATCCTTTAAGACTTAGCTCAGACATTGCCTCCTCTAGGAAGACTTCCCTGAAGCACATCCCTCTCACCTCACCTCTGGGCAGGTGCCTACGCACAATGACCTGCATGTGTCCCCATCCATGCAGATGGCAAAGTGAACTGCCACTATCTGCCTCTGCACCAGCCCCCACCACAGTGTATACGCACTCAGCTGAAACCTGGCCTCTTCTTTATACCCCCAGTGCCAGGCGAGCCTGGTGAGGACACGGCCTTGGCAAATGTTTGCTGAGTGAATGGATGAGTGAGTGGCTTCCCTGAGGCCCCTTGAGCACTCAGAGAATCCCGGGACTGAGTGGCCAGCAGAGGCCCGCTGGGTGGGCCTGGGGTGAGGGACAGTGGGGAGTGGCGGCCTTGAAGCCTGACTCTTCAAAGATTGTGGGACTGGCACAGAGATCCACAGCACCTCTGAGGGGGTGGTGCTGCTCTCTTTCTGTCCTCGGCAGAGTCACCTTTGCCCTACCCCTCATCTCAGTTCACTGGGCTGCAGCACTGGGGACTTTGTCTCCAAGGAGCAGGGAAGGCTTTGGTTGTACCCCAGATCCAAGGACCAATCCTGGATGCACTGATTCTGCAGAACCTTTATTTATTGGTGGATTCAGATTCAGCGTCCCGACTCAGTTACTCCAGTACCATCAGCCACCACCACCCAGATGGCCTCAGCTCGGATGGCCCCATACCCCACCCTAGCGACCCACGGGTGAGTTTGCTGAGTATGTGAGATTAACTGGTGGCTCAGTGGTCGGCTCCTCTAGTGGATAATTCCATTCAAAGCCAATGCTCTTGATGCCAAGGAGTTGATACTGGCCATAGATGCCCACCAGCACCTGCCCCTCTTGGCTGGGGTAGGCAGAGGAGATCTGGCCATCAAGCTTCCCAAAATAGAAATAGCGGTCCTTGCTGGTGTACATGACCATACCCCGGAGGAAAGCTTGGAAGGCGACAAAGACTTTTGTGATGTATTCGCCTGGCTGCAGGGTGACTTCCTGGGTATTCCCACCTAAGGCTCCCAGTTTCACGTCCCAGGAGTCTCCAAGTTTCACCTGGACACTGGGAGAGAGGCAAAGCTTTGGACGTCCAGATCTGGGATGGCCCAGCACATCCCGGGTCCTCAGCGCCCCCATCCTCCTTCCCGGGATGCAGAGAGTCCAGCACCATCAGACTTTGGGTCCCTGACACAGACTCACTGGTCACCAACCCTGATTCTACCACTTTTGGGCCCTGTGATCTTGAGCTCGTTACCCAGCCTCTCCGGACTCAGTTTCCCCGTCTGCAAAGTGGGTGTGACTTTTGGGAGGAGTCACTGAGATCCTGGTGAGGAGAGCTGCGTGCAGCGCCAGGTCTCCGTGACCCAGAAGGCACCAGCTGCCGTCACTGTGGCCCACATATGAGCTGCCTCTGGCCGAGCCTGGACCTCCCGAGCCTTAGTCACTCCAAGCAGAGCAGCTCACAGGCCGAGGGGCAGGTGACTTCCCACACTCGCCAGCGCTTCCCTGACGGGGCTCATCTTCACCCCTCCCTCACCCTGGTGCTCTCCCAGGATGCACCCCTCCGGCTCGCCCCGCCCACACTCTGTCTCCTCTGCTATTGGGCTTCTCTCCCCTCTCCCAGGACCCCAGAACTTCTAAATGCAGGGCAAAAATCCATCCCAGACCTCCAGCAGAGACACTTCGATATTAAGGAAATGGCCCTGGACTTCTGCCTCTAACACTTCTGCGACTCATATTCAGTCAGTGGTCCACTCTGACCCTTACCTCCTGTCTTCTTTGACAGTAATCGGACAGACTTTCCCCTGACTTTCCTATCAGGCATGGGGACAGAGGGGCCATTTTTGGTTGAGTTGAGCTTGGGTTGAAGGGAGAAGGTAGGGAGGACGGTCTGACCGTCTCCGCTCCAGCCAGGAAGCATCAGCGGGAGCCAGGAAGCATCGACAGTAGCCAGGCATGTGTGGCAAAAGTGGCCACGGGTGCTTACCCCCTGCCCTGAGTTCCTGAAACTGTGGGATGGGAGGGGACATGGCGCTGGGCCCATGACCATAGCCCTACTCACCTTTTCACCAGGAGAAGACCTACAGACACCCGCAGCCCTGTGATTTCATGGTCGTAGTCTTCAGTGGTGCTGAAATACTTGCCTCCTCCAGGGCCATACATCTCTGAAGAAAAGAGAGACCCAAAGGGAAGAAAATCCCCATGCGGTGATATGGGGGTGACCTCTGCCAGAACAGGGGACCCCACCCCTCCAGGCAGACAGGATGGTTCTGTGACCAGAGTTAGTCTGGGACAAGGGCCGGGTGAGTCCCTGGCTCTCCTGGAGGGAGGCAGGGGAGATTGAGGGCAGACCCCACTGACTTACTCCCTGCCCAGGTGGGGCCCCCCAGGAGGGCAAGCGTGAGCAGCAGCAGCATGGCCTCTGGCCGGTGCATCCCAGGGCTCTGTGGGAAGAAGAGAGGCCTCCTGACTCCAAAGCAAGGGCCAGTGTGACCTTGCCGGGCCCCACCCATGGAGCCAAGCACCTTACCTCGCCTGTGACTGGGCGTCTGGTTGTGCCGGGCACCCTCCACATCGCCTTTATACTCTCCTGGGCCCCCTGGGCCCCCATCCAGAAGGAAGAAGCGAGGGGCCGCCAGGGGAACAGGAAGGAGCTGGCCGTGGGGCTCTTCCTGGGGGAAGGCCCAGGGCCGGCCTTGGGGAGGCTCCCGGATGTGCAGTATTTGCTGTCTTGGCTCTGCAGCCTACATAAACGAAGCTGAGAACAGTGACAGGCATTTCACAGTTATCTCTGGGATCTCTCCAGTCAGCACTGGCACCGACTTGAATGGCAGAGGTGGGGAGAGGCTGGCTTATCCAGCGCAGCCTGATGGCTTCCACCTGAGGGTGGCGGGTCAAGGGTCCACAGAAGCTCCGTGGGGCCCACTCCTGCCGTGGGCGACCTGGAGTCAGGGCCTCCTTCGGACTCAGGCAGCACCTGGTGCCTGGCAGCCTTCCTGGGACCCAGGCCGAGCTCGACGCGGGCCCTGAGAGAGCCTGAATGGATCACCCAGCCCTTTGTGTCCTGTGCCCTGTGCGGCAGGTGCACCAGGCACTGGCCCTCAAGGCACTGCCCTTAGAGGCTGCCCGGGTCTCTCCTCTGTGCTGTATCTGGGTGGAGCAGGTATGAGCCAGTGTTCAGGGACTCAGAGGCCATGGGAGGGAAGGACACCAAAGGTGCAGTCCATGCCACGATGGGAGGCAGAGGGCCTGGGGAGGGCGACCCCCCAGGCCGGTCCTTCCGAGGTGTCGGCCCTCATCTGGGCGGGAACTGGCGCTTCTCCAGGGCTCGGTCCCCGGGGCCCTGCTGGTTTTCTGTCTCACTCCTTTCCCCCTCAGCCCCTCTTGTCAGGGAGGCCTGTGCAGGCGGATGCCTGTGGGCAGAACGCCATCACCCTCAGACGCCAGCTGAGAAAAGCTCGTGTTCGGAGATGTCTCATCCCAAGGACCCTGAAGGACCCAGGGCACTGGGAAGGAACTGGAGTCTGCAGAAGAGTTGGGGTGTCGGATAAGGATCAGGGGAGAAGAGATAAAGGCCGTCAGATGCCCAAGCGAGGCGGGAACTAGGGGACAGATTGCAGCTCAAGCGCAGTTCCATGCGTGTCCTCAGGACACCTCTTGTGTGTGTTCCAGGGACTGAAGCTCCTCAGGGCCTGTGACCGCTGGGAACAGCCACAGGGCTGTGATCACCAACACAGGACCCTGGAGCCAGACGTGGGTCCAGCCGGGCTTCCTGACGTAGCGGGGCTGGGATCTGCGGGCTCTTGCTTCACCTCTCTGGGCCTCTGTTCTGCGGATAACAACAGAACCTCCCCCTGAGGGTGCTGTGAGGGCCTCCCTGGAGGGGAGGCCCCCAGGGCTGGTTGCCCTGAGCCTTAGACTTTATGCCTTGGGGGAGAGTGTACAACGCTAATTTTTGGAAAGAGCAAAAGCTGAGAAATCACGGGCGCATCCACCTGGAGATGCCGAGAGCCCGGGTGGTGGATCCCTGGCTGTGGAAAACTTGGGTGGAGAGGGTGGGGGACACTCCCACTGCACACCCATCCCCCAGGGAAACAGGCTGGAAGACCAGTGTGTGTGGACCCCACATGCTTCCCAGGAAGATGGGTGCAAAGAAGGGCTTTGTGCATGCACAGACTGGCTCTGGAAGTGCTGGCTCACCAGGAACGGGGACGCCGGTCTCATCGGGATGAGGGTGGGCAGGGGCTGCGGGAGGAGCAGGACTTTCACGACTTGAACCAGGTGCCTGCGCCAGGGGTGGCGAACTATGGCCCAGCCAACCACCTCCTGTTTCTGCCTCGCCCATGAGCAAAGAATGCTTCCTACATGTTAATATTCTTAGGAAACATTCAAAAGAACGATGTCTTGTGGTCCATGAAAATTCTTTGAAATTCCCATGCTCCAGTTCATTAAGTCAAGCGTCACTGGCCCACAGCCGCCGTGCGCTCATTGGCATGTGGCCTGTGGCTGTCTTCATGCTTGCACAGAAGCTCACATGGCTGTGACAGAGACCTGCAGCCCCTGAACCTAAAATTGTACCATCTGGCCCTTCACACAAAACGTCCGCCCACCCCTGGTTGATACCTATTCCCAAAGAACCACCAAAGCCCTGTCCGTGGTGCTGGATGGCAGAGTCAGGAAGGGGGCTCCCCGTGACACCCCAGCCCTGACGGGGCAGGAGCAGAGCAGCACATTAGCCTTGACACCTGGCCCTTCTTCTGGCACCTGCACCATCTCCCTGGAGGGGCTGGTGAGGGCTGGGTTCCCACTGACTAGTGTTTCAAGGTGAGGCCCCAGTTGCACCTCTCTGCACCCCCTCAAGCGCTCCTCTGATTTCAGGGGAAGCAGAGCCCAGGCCAGGGGAGGGTCAGCGGAGCCCCTCTCAGGAG
Organism: Homo sapiens; assembly: GCF_000001405.40. Taxonomy (NCBI): domain Eukaryota; kingdom Metazoa; phylum Chordata; class Mammalia; order Primates; family Hominidae; genus Homo; species Homo sapiens. The sequence goes on along the minus strand of NW_013171812.1, from coordinate 7,395 downwards.
GAGCCTTCTTCAGGGAGGTGGAGGTGGAAAAGGCCAAGCCCTCGGCCAGCACAGCTGTCAGAGGCAGGAGCTCAGATGTGGCACAAAGGGGCTGTGTTCTTGCCCCAGCCCAGCCTGAGGGCGCCTTTCCATGTTTTGCTGGCAGTTCAGGGGCCTTCTTTCTAACTCCAGGCTGGCAGGGTTTGATGCCCAGACGGAAAGTCGTCTGAGCCAGGACTCCAGAAGCACCAGCTGGGGTTGGGGGGACTTGGAGGAAGAGAGAGCACACTGGAGGGGATGTTCAGACGGCGCGAACACAGAGATCACACGTACTTGTTCACACACGTGCACTTGAAGATGGATGCACACACATGCACCCAGACACACACGCCCGCTCAGCCTCTCCTGCACGCGGGGGGCATGCACACACGAGGACACTCCTCCTCACCTGCGTGCCTGACCTGGGGAAGAAGCCCACCTGGTGGGAGGCACCCCCCTCCCACCCTCCATCTGCCATGGCCCAAGTGCTGGCCCCGAGCCCGTGCTCAGGGAGACTCAACACAGGCCCTTTGTCCCTTGGGATCAGGGCTCCCAAAACAGGGATTTACTGAGCATTTATTTCCTGCCCGGGGCACGCCCCAGTCCTCATTCTGCCAGGAGAAGGGAACAATGAGGCCTTCTCCTGCCTGCAGAGGTGGCCCGGGCCGGCTGGCCCTTGTGTGTCAGGAGTCGGGTTAGGGCCACAAGTCCCTGTCCTCCCTGCCCTCCAGGTGTGGGGCTTGGGAAGACCCCTCTGTGGCTCTGCAGCCTGAGGCACAGCAGACAAGAGGGTCTCCATCTGCACCCACTCAGTTGGCGGGGCCTTCCTGTGGCCTGGGGGCCAGGCTGAGCCTCTGTGGGAAGCCCCCAGCCTCACTGGAGGCAGGAACATGAGTCCCTGGCTTGGATCTCTGGGTAGGACTGTCCTGAATGAGACTCTGAGCAAAGTCAGGAGCTGTTTCCTCCCAGGGCCTTGGCGGCTCCCTGGGACTCAGGAACCAGAGGGAAGGTCCTGCTGGCTGGGGGAGGGGCAGGATCAGAAGCCCAGGGGCCTCTGCCCCAACCCCACCAGGCCGAAGCTGGGCTGTGCCCATGGACTTGCCCTTGAGCGGCTGCTGCTGCGGAAAGAGGCCCTGAGGGAAGGCACCGCAGCCTTCTGCTCCTGAAAGCACAGCTCCCGCATGCCCGCGGCACACTCACTGAGTTCCCGTTGGTGCCACGCCTGTGCTAAGCATTTTTTTTTTTTTTAGAGACGAGGTCTGTCTCTGTTGCCCAGGCTGGAGTGCAAGTGGCTCGATCTCGGCTCACTGCAACCTCCACCTCCCAGGTTCAAGCGATTCCCCTGCCTCAGCCTCCCGAGTAGCTGGGATTACAGGCACCCACCACCACGCCTGGCTAATTTTTGTATTTTTAGTAGAGACGGGGTTTCATCATATTGGCCAGGCCGGTCTCAAACTCCTGACCTTGTGATCTGCCTGCCTGCCTCGGCCTCCCAAAGTGCTGGGATTACAGGCATAAGCCACAGCGCCCAGCCTCCACTAAGCATTTTATCTGCACTTTCCCCAGAGAAACTCAATACTTTTATTGGAAAACCAGGACACATAGCCATACATTTTGCCTAATCTTTCATGTAATTAACCTTCTACTAGTGCAAGTGTTGAAAAGAGAATACACTATTCCCAAGTTTCAAGTTGAGGGAGGCGGGATTCCCGGGTTCTGGTTTCTCCAGCCTACCCTGGTGCGTGTGTTGCTCCTTGGCGTCTGGGTCAGCTCAGGCTGCTGTAACACAAATCCCACGCCGTGGGCGGCTGGTAGATGATAGAGGTTTGTTTCTCACAGCTCTGGAGGCTGGAAGTCCAGGATCAAGGTGCTGAGCGATGCGGCTGCTGGTGAGGGCTCCTTCCTGGCGAGCAGACCCCCATCTTCTCACTGTGTCCTCTTATCTGGGGAGGGGCGAAGAGGAGAGCCCTGGTCTCCTTTTCTTATAAGGGCCTTAGCCCATCACTGGAGGTCCTGTGCTCATGACCTCATCTAAACCTAATTACTTTCAAAGGTCCCACCTCTTGACACATATGCTTAGAGCTTCCACATATGTACTTTGGGGAGACAAAGACAGCCACAGCACCTGGTTAGCATCCCCCTGACTCTCTCCTGAGGCAGGCACCTGCTTAGAACCTGGGGCTCGCCCCACTCTCCTGACCTCCTCTCCTGGGGGCCAGGAAGTGCCCCACGGGGGCCGACCCTGTCCACCTCCGTGGCTGTGCTCCAGCTGACTTGCTCGGGCCCTGTCCTGTGAATGGAGGAAGGATGTTGGGCTCAGCCTTCGCACCTGCCCCGGTAGATTCCATGATAAGGGACCTGAGCGGCCTGGCCCGGCGCCACACTCCGACCCTGTTCCTGACTGCACCTCCCGCAGCCACTCCCAGCCTCGGTTTCTCTATCGGTAGATAAGCCTCTAGCACACCTCAGCACCTGAGGCTGTTGGGAGGGAGGAGCGAGACAATGTGTGCGGCCGCCAGCCGTCTGCTGGGGGGAAACGAGTCCGTCTTATTAAGGTGATACGGTTTGGCTGTGTCCCCGCCCAAATCTCATCTTAAATTGTAGTTCCCATCATTCCCACATGTTGTGGGAGGGACCTGGTGGGAGGTAATTGAGTCGTGGGCAGTGAGTTACCCCTATGCTGCTGTTCTCGTGATAGAGAGTGAATTCTCACGAGATCTGATGGTTTTATACAGAGATTTCCCCCCTTTTGCTTGGCACTTCTCCTTGCTGCCACCATGTGAAGAAGGATGTGTTTGCTTCCCTTTCTGCCCTAATAGTAAGTTTCCTGAGGCCTCCCCAGCCACGCTGAACTGTGAGTCAATTAAACCTCTTTCCTTTCTAAAATACCCAATCTCAGGTATGTCTTTATTAGCAGCGTGAGAATGGACTAATACATGAGGACCGGCCCGGACGAGGCCCTCGATGGTGTCAGGCACTGGAACAGCCTCAGACTGGTTTGAGTCAGTTGCTCATCTCCTTCCCAAGAGTGGTTGAGTCCTCCCTGGGAGGCTGCAGAGGGAGTAGCCCTGTGGGGGGCGTCGCTGGTCCGGGAGGCCAGTTCCTGACTGCAGCCCCCACAGCAAGCCATGTGGAGGGCCTGGAATTTTCCAGACTCGAGGATGGACGATCCAGATGGACCAAGATGGCAGAAGCTGAGGATGGGCCCTGGGGAGCTGTCCTCCAAGGACAAAGTCAACAGACATTTCCCCTACATTTACCACCCAAATTCAGACATACTGGAGAGTAAAAGGTGACAGTGACACCCACGCAATCCCTGCCTCTCCAGTCCTCAGCATTCTCCTGTGTGGGTGTCACTGCATTTGTCCATGTCCCGGACCCTCCGTCCACTCATTGGTTCATCTTCTTTCCTCAGACGTCAGGTGCAGACCTCAGTTCACTTACCCTCAGGGACTTCCACATGCGTATCGTTAACTAGACTTTTGGGGGGTTGGGCTTTTCCCAGTTTGAAGCACAATTTGCATACAACGAAATCACAAATCTCGAAGTGTATATTCACAGGTTTAAAAAATATTTATGGATTCCGGACCACCTGGCTGGGCTGGGGCATCTGGCAGGAGGTCTGGGGCTAACTGCCCACGTGAGACCAGCCTGGACAACAAAGTGAGAACTTGTCTCTACAAAAAATAACTTTAAACAACTTAGCTGGTGGTGGTAGTGTGGGCCTGTAGACCCAGCTACTCAGAAGACTGAGGTGGAAGGAGCCCAGGACTTCAAAGTTGCAGTGAGCTAGGATCACGTCACTGCACTGGCTCCAGTCTAGGTGCCAAAGCGAGACCCTATCTCTTAAAAAAACAAAAGCAAACAAACAAACAAACGAAAAGCAAACAAAAAACTAGGCCAGGTATGGTGGTTCACGCCTGTAATCCTAGCACTTTGGGAGGCCGAGGCGGGTGGATCGAGAGGTCAGGAGTTTGAGACCAGCCTGGCCAACATAGTGAAACCCCGTCTCTACTAAAAATTACAAAAGTAGCTGGGCATGATGGCACTCCCAGCTACTCAGGAGGCTGAGGCAGGATAATTGCTTGAACCAGGGAGGCGGAGGTTGCAGTGAGCTGAGATCGTGCCATTGCACTCCAGCCTGGGTGACAGAGTGAGACTCTGTCTCAAAAAAAAAAAAAAAAAAAAAAAAGGATGACAGGCAAACTGGCTGAAAGCTATTGTAGCCATTAAGTAGCATTTCATGACTGGGTTGAAATAAAGCAGAAAACAGGGCCAACTCTATAAAAGGGACCACTAGTACAATTTGAACAAGTTGTGTTAGCGATATCGCCAAAGTTACCCACTAGGTGGAGTGAAGCATGTTTTTAGGTCCAGTTCTGTTAAGTTACCCAAAGCAGTTACTGGCTGTAAAATTTTAATTACACATTATCCTGTCAAGGGAGAAAGGTGCGCATTAAGAGAGGTAAGTGGACCACCATGATACGGAATCTCGTTTTGATGGTCTTGGGAAAAGCTGCAGTATGAAGCCGGCAATTTTGCAGTTAAAATGTCTCTGGTTATGGCCTTGGATGGTTGGTGAACTCTGTGCGGTCCACACATCAGGCACAATACTTGTCCCTTGATATTTATGTTAAGTTGTTTTGTTTTAGCTCGCAGGGCATTTATGAAAGAGCAGCTTCCAGTTTTAATAATTCCGTAGGAGAAAACTGGATTGGAGGAACTTAGAATTTAGGGTCCAATATAGTCTACAGGTAGATGATAAAACTGATCTATAAACAATTTAAATATGACATTCCAAAGCCTTCGTAATGTTACAGGATCTCTGGGGTGTTGTTTTTCTGGCTGGAAATCTGTGGCTGTTGGCGCCTTGGCCCGAGTTTTGCCCGTTTCCACTGAGGAAAAGGAGTCATCTCGTATGTCCACTGTCCAGAATCTCCACTCTTCCACCCCTTTGCTGATTTAAGTAAGAGTGATGACCTGCTCCCTGCAGGCACTGAGGAATACATCCATGCAAGGATTTAACAGAGAAATGACAGGAAAACCCTTAGCACTGTCTAAGCGATCACTAAGGATTACAATAAAAAGCAACTAGTGAAGGCATTTAAGAGGAAATTTCCCTGCAATGGGACGGTAATTGAGCATCCAGAATATGGAGAAGTCATTCAGCTACAGGGTGACCAGCGCAAGAACATATGCCAGTTCCTTGTAGAGGTGGGACTGGCTAAGGACGATCTGCTGATGGTTCAAGGGTTTTAACTACTTGTGGCTCACTGAAACTTAAGTGAGGATTTCCCTGTAATGAGTAGAATTTCCCTTCTTTCCCTTGTTACAAGTTTTAAAACCTCACAGTTTGTCTAATTTAACCATTTGAGGTCTGCTTTTAACTTGAACTAGTGTAATTCCTTTATGCAATAAACTGCAAAAATAAAAATAAAAAAATAAAAACATCGCTAAGGGAGGACCATGATTTTCGAACTTGGAGCCAGCTGGAGTCCCACAAGGGGAACCATTATTGCCTACTTTCTGGGTGCTCAGAGCCTCACCTCGGGGCTGCCCCAGCTCTGAGGCATCCCGTGCCCCAGAACTACTCTCAACATGGTGGGGGGAGTGGTCAAGAGAGAAACGCCCACCGTGGTGTCCTTGTCCTCAGTGGGCCAACGCTGAGGCCCCCACAGGATTGCACCCCAGTTGCCTAGAATGGTACCCTCTATGTTTGTGTAAGCTCATTGGTGTTCCTTCCTTCCCTGCCTCGGTTTCCCCATTTCCTGCAATCCCCTCCCAGATAAACTACCTGCACCTATGTCCTGGTCCTAGGTCAGCCTTGGGGGAACCATAGTAAGATCAGGATGTCTGGCGTTTCTGTGCCGGATCCTTGTGGGGTGAGGGATGTCAGGATTGTTTCCTCCAATGCACACACCCCCAATCCAGGCTTCCCAGCTCCTGGCACCCTGGAACTACTCCTGTTCCATTGCTGAGCATGATGTGCGTCTATAATTTCAGCTACTCAGGAGGGTGAGGCGGGAGGATCGAGACCACCCTAGGCGTTCAAGACCAGCCTGGGCAACACACAATTCTCTTTCTGATCGAAATAACCAGATGGTTCTATGGTGCAGAACAGATGTGGGTGTGAGCCAGGGGCACAGACAGGCTGTCTGCACAAGAGAGAATGAGCTGTCCATGAAGCCACTGCTTTTGAAGAATGCCCTGCAAGGCATCAACTGGAATGTGTTTATTACCAAACAAGACAGAAGAGAACCAGGGCCTGACTTGGCAGTGGCCCCAGGCTGCATGGGCTCAGGTAGGCTCAGACCGGCCCCAGGAGTGGGAGAGCCCAGAGAAGAGGGAAAAAGAGTAGCGGCCAGGAGGGGTCTGGCTGGGACATGCCACTCTGGGCCATCAGCTTCTGGATCCACTCAAAGTGGTGGCTGATATTGGTGTAGACACCGGGCCGATTGGGCCGACCACAGCCCACTCCCCAGCTCACGACTCCAATCTGATACCACAGTCCATTCTTGTTACAGGCCAAGGGTCCACCTGAGTCACCCTGGGGAGCAGCGGGGCTGAGGTCAGCCTGGGGCAGAGTGAGTGGGGCAGGGGAGGGGCTGAGAGTGGGAAGGGCTATGGGGCTGGGTAGACTGGGTGCACATCCTCCTCCTCCCCCTGGCAGCAGCCAAGCCTCCGTTTCTGCATCTGCAGAGTGGGGCAACAGTCTCCACCTCCCGGGGTTGGCATGAGGGTCAAATAAGGCACAGGGACACAGGATGCTTTCCTGGGCTGGGAGTGGTGGCAAGGACACTCACGAAGCAGGCATCCTTCCCGCCTTGGGCATTGCCAGCACAAACCATGTCTCCAAAGATGTCCTTGCGGAAACTGTACTTGAGGAAGAGGTGGTTGCACATAGAGTTGTTTATGATGGCGACCTGAACTTCCTGGAGGGTGTGGGGAGATGGCAGTGCTGTGCGGACGATAGTGGGAAGGAGAGAGACAGCAACCTGAGGCCCCTCTATGGAGGGATGGCATAGGCTGCGGGGGTGGGGGCCCTGGGGCACCCACTGTGCCTGGCAGGTTCATCTCCATTACCCCCAGCTCCAACCCAGACCCCAGCACAACAGAGGCCCTCAGCAGCATCACAGAAGGCCCCGGGGAGGGACAGGCTGTCAGAGCTCCCCCAGCCGCACTTTCCCTATCTGTAGAATGGCAACAATGGCCCTGCCTGCAGCCATGGAGAGATTCCTCAGCCAAAAGGAGCCGAGGGAGGGGCGAAGGCAGCTGAGACGGTGTTCAGATGAGCATCCAAAGCCAGACCTGGGGGAGGGGCAGCCTGGCTGCAGCCCTGGCCTCAGTAGCAGCTGGGCGCTTTCCAGGCCTGGACAC
>NW_025791799.1:0-87715 GCF_000001405.40 Homo sapiens | reverse complement strand
ACGAGGTCAGGTGATCGAGACCATCGTGGCTAACATGGTGAAACCCCGTCTCAACTAAAAATACAAAAAATTAGCTGGGCGAGGTGACGGGCGCCTGTAGTCCCAGCTACTCGGGAGGCTGAGGCAGGAGAATGGCGTGAAACCGGGAGGCGGAGCTTTCAGTGAGCCGAGATTGCGCCACTGCACTCCAGCCTGGGCGACATAGCCAGACTCCGTCTCAAAAAAAAAAAAAAAGGCAGAGGAGCAGCCAGGGGCAGTGGCTCATGCCTGTAATCCCAGCACTTTGGGAGGGAGGCTGAGGTGGGCGGATCACCTGAGGTCAGGAGTTCAAGACCAGCACGTCCAACATGGTGAAACCCTGTCTCTACAAAAATACAAAAATTAGCTGGGCATCATGGTGGGTGCCTGTAATCCCAGCTACTCAGGAGGCTGAGGCGGGAGAATCGCTTGAACCTGGGAAGTGGAGGTTGCAGTAACCCGAGATCGCGCCATTGCACTCCAGCCTGGACAACAAAGAGAGACTGCATCTCAAAAAAAAAAAAAAAAAAAAGCAAGAAGCAAGGTGGGGCTCAGGTGGAGGGGCCCCTCCTCCCGGGGCATGACCCAGAAGAAGGGGACCAGGGGTTCTTAATCAATCTGCGGAAGCCTTTGGCTAAGGGAGGGAGGGGGTGCCGGGAGATCCAGGTTTGAAATGAATGCTGAGTGCCCGGCGCTTCCCCTGGTCGGCGAGGGAGGGGCCCCTGACATTTGCCAGGGCGTGGGCGCGCCTGTCTGCGCCCTGAGCTAGACGGCAAAGTACACAAGCAGACGAAGGGGTCGCATGCGGGGGCGCAGGAGTCAGGCGGATTTTATTGACCGGACGGCAGGCGGGGTCTATGAGCGGCTCCTGGAAGCGCGCGGCCACTCCTCCTGGGTCAGGCGCGGAGGCGCCACGGGCGGGCGGGGGACGCTGTCAGAACGGTCCGGGGGCCAGGCAGGGCAGGCCAAGGCGGTTTGCTGCGGGGTCCACCGCTGGGCGGGAGACGTCTCTCCGAAGTCTCTAACGAGAACACAGCAAGGCCGTGGGGAGGAGGCTGTGGCCCTCCAACCACCGCCCCCGGGTGCCAGGGTCGAGCCTGCCCAGGGAAAGCTCTTCTGGGCGCGGAGCAGGGAATGGAAGGGCCCGAGGGTGCCCCCTGAACGCGCGGCTCCGTGCTCCGGCTCAGACCTCCCGAGACCCCCTTGCCCGCGGCGGTCCAGGCCTCTCCCCTCTCACGTACCTGGCCAGCTCCGCTGAAGTCCAGGGACTCCGGTTCCAGCGCAGGCTCTGGGGCGCGCGGGCTCCGGGGCGCACGGACGGGGATCCCTGCCTGGGAGCTCCTGCGTCGCGTCTCCCACAGCTCCTGAACCCACGAGGGCAGCAGGAGAGGAGCCTCGCGGGCTGCGGGTTCGGGGGAGAGGGTGTCCCTGGCCAGGGGCCCGGCGGCCGCGCGCAGCGCGCGGCGCCACAGATAGGGTGAGCGACGCAGCCCCATGAGCAGGCCAGCGGCGCGGCCCACCGTGTGGTAGCGGGGACTCGCCACGTGCTTGTACCACGCGCCGGAGGGCAGCGGCAGCAGGAGCAGAAGCAGCAGCAGTGCCAGCCGCGGCCGGCTCGCGGGAGCCCCCCGCTCCCCTGGGCGCCACGCCAGGGCGCTCGCGTCGACGGCCGCCCGGCGGGGCGGGCCACGAACCGGCTCGGCTGGGTTTGGGCGCGCAGTGGAGTTGGGACGCCCAGGTACCGGAGCGCAGGAGGCTGGAGGCGAGCCGTGGGTCCCCTGCAGGCCCAGCTATAACCGCTCGGTGGCCCCGCCTCGTTCCGCCCCCTCAGTACCGCTGGGCTCCCCAGATGGGGGGAGGGACGGAGGGAGGAGAGGGAACCCTGGCAGCTGGCGGGGGACGTGGGTACTTGAGCACCTCACTGAGTGGGCCGCTGGCTGGAACTGGGCTCGAGGCTCCTCTGAGGGGACACGTCCCATTCTCTGCCTGCTCAGCCTCCTCCCTCTAGGAGTGGAAGTGCCAGGGAGTGGGTACTGGGAACACTGATGAGGGAGTAGGGCTGAGGGATGCCCCTTTAGCCAGACTCCTGCCGGTGGGACGACAGCAGAGCGAAGGCCCAGGTGCAGGCAGAGCTACAGTGGCTATTGCAGGAGGGCTGTCGGGGGCCTTCAGCACCATTCAAGACCCCTCTGGGTGAGTCCCCCCAAGAGTTGTCCCTTGTCCTTGCCTAGCATAGCTCCCAAAGCTGTCCCCACACCCTGTCCTGTCCACTGCCACCCCCAGCTTCTCCCCACCAACCCATCTCCCCGCAGAAGCCTTAGAAGCCTCATGTTGGCAACACCAAGCCATCCGTGGGGTCTGCAGTTCTGTGAGGCTTCCAGGAGAAAAAGTCAGCCCCTCCTGGAACCTCTACCCCTGGAGGGGCAGGACAAGGCCTTGCAGACCTCCAGCGCCTCCTCTCTGGTGATGGTCCCCCAAGACCACTTTATCCAGCCAGTCTCAATTTTTGCCTAAACCAACAGCCTGTGGCTTTGCCTGCCTCTGTGCGTCTGTGCCTAACACCTACTCATCCTTCAAGACTCCACTTAAATGGCCCAGATCCTTGGCCGGGCGCGGTGGCTCACACCTGTAATCCCAGCACTTTGGGAGGCCGAGGCGGGCGGATCACCTAAGGTCATGAATTCAAGACCAGCCTGGCCAACGTGGTGAAACCCCATCTCTACGAAAAACACAAAAAATTAGCTGGGTATGGTGGCAGGCACCTGTAATCCCAGCTACTTGAGAAGCTAAGGCAGGAGAATCGCTTGAACCCGGGAGGCGGAGGTTGCAGCGAGCCAAGATTGCATCATTGCACTCCAGCCTGGGCAACAAGAGCGAAACTGCATCTTTTTTTTTTTTTTTGAGACGGATTCTGGCTCTGTTGCCCAGGCTGGAGTGCAGTGGCGCGATCTCGGCTCACTGCAAGCTCCGCCTCCTAGGTTCACGCCATTTTCCTGCCTCAGCCTCCCGAGTAGCTGAGACTACAGGTGCCCGCCACTACGCCCGGCTAATTTTTTGTATTTTTAGTAGAGACGGGGTTTCACCACGTTAGCCAGGATGGTCTTGATCTCCTGACCTTGTGACTTGTGATCCGCCCGCCTCGGCCTCCCAAAGTGCTGGGATTATAGGCGTGAGCCACTGTGCCCGGCCGAAACTGCATCTTAAAAAAAAAAAAAGGCGCAGGGCCAGACAGTCCCTCAGAATTTCCCTCTGTGGCCATCTGGGCTTAACAACCCCCTCCCAGAGGGCAGAGCCTGACACAGTCTTTCCTGACCTCCCAGCAAGGGTGAATCCAGCCCTCCCTCAGCAACCATGTCAGTCATGGGGCAGCCCCTGGGTCCCAGACACCAGGGATCTCGTTTTGGGTCATCATGAACTATCTCATCTTGACCTCCAGACAATGTCATGAGTGGAACTATTATTGACTCCACTCACCAACGAGTAAACTGAGGCCCAGGGAGAACTGACCTGCCCCAGATCATGTTGGGTAAATGGTGGAGGTGAGATACATCCTAGCACCTGAGCCCAAGAGCCTCAGCTTGGGGGAACAGGGTACTCCTGTCCAGAAGGGCACAGAAAGGCTGGGGGCAGGCTGGGCACAGTGGCTCATGCCTGTAATCCCAGCACTTCAGGAGGCTGAGGCAGGTGGATTACTTGAGGCCAGGAGTTCAAGACCAGCCTGGCCAACATGGCAAAACCCCATCTCTATTAAAAATACAAAACTTGCCAGGCACAGTGGCTCATGCCTGTAATCTCAGCACTTTGGGAGGTCGAGGCAGGCATGTCACGAGGTCAAGAATTTCAGACCAACCTGACCAACATAGTGAAATCCCATCTCTACTAAAAATACAAAAATTAGCCGGGTGTGGTGGCATGCGCCTGTAGTCCCAGCTACTCAGGAGGCTGAGGCGGGAGAATTGCTTGGTCCTCGGAGGCGGAGGTTGCAGTGAGCCAAGACTGTGCCATTGCACTCCAGCCTGGGTGACAGAGTGAGACTCCATCTCAAAAAAAAAAAAAAAAAAACTTAGCCGGGCATGGTGGCACACACCTGTAGTCCCAGCTGCTCGGGAGGCTGAGGGAGGAGAATCACTTGAACTCGGGAGGCAGAGGTTGCAGTGAGCCACGATGGGACCACTGTACTCCAGCCTGGGTGACAGAGCAAGACTCCATCTCAAAAAACAAACAAACAAACAAACAAAACAGAAGGTCTGGGGGCAGAGCCAGACTCCCACTCCTGAGGCGTGAGGGTCCCCGGTGAGTCTGGTGAGCCTGACGAGGGTTAGAAGCAGCAGCCCTCTCCAGGAAGGCCACACTGAAGTGGCGAGACGCCAGCCCTGCTTGATAGTCGCAGCTGAGGGGAAGAGGATAAGGACCTCGGCCTCTCCTGCCTCAGTTTCCTCATCTGTAAACTGGGGGTAAAAAAAGTGGCCACTTCATCATCTTGTTGGCACTGATAATCCAGTGGTGGGTCTGGGAGCTGAACCGTGCCTGGTACCCAGTAAGCACTCAATGAACGCTGTGGCTAGGACCTATCCTTGCTGCACCAGAGGCTGACCACCCCCAGCCTGTCAGGAAAACACTGTGACAGGGGCAGAATGGGGGATGCAGATGGAGCTGTCTGCGCCGCCTGGAGGACCACGGGGACCAGAGGCCCTGCAAGAAGCTATCCCCGCCACGCTCCCCCAGGGCCCCTTGTCCTTGACAGCTGCCTGGAGTGTGTGGTGGGCGGGTAGTGCAGCACGACATGGGCCAGAGCCAGGCCCCATCAGGGTCCCTTGGCGCTGCCACCCGCTCCTGGCTAAGAGGACGTGGGTGTCTCTGGACCCCTGGGGGGACTCCAGCCAGTCAGGGGAGGGTCCAGGACGCCCCCTGGAGGTGGCCCGGGGAGCTTCTGCAGGGGGAACTGTGGAAACTGATCAATGAAAGTCTATGCTGGGATGGAAGTCCCTGTGACAGCAAATAGAAGCAGTGGAGATTGCGCCACTGCACTCCAGCCTGGGCAACAGAGGAAGACTCCTTCTCTCTCAAGAAAAAAAAAAACAAAACAAACAAACAAAAAAAAAACAGCTGGACATGGTGGCTCATGCTTGTAATCCTAGCACTTTGGGAGGCCAAGGCAGGTAGATCATGAGGTCAGGAGTTTGAGACCAGCCTGGCCAACACAGTGAAACCTCGTCTCTACTAAAAATACAAAAATTAGCCAGGCGTGGTGATGGGTGCCTGTAGTCCCAGCTACTCGGGAGGCTGAGGCAGGAGAATCACTTGAACCCGCGAGGCAGAGGTTGCAGTGAACCAAAATCACACCACTGCACTCCAGCCTGGGCGACAGAGCAAGACTCTATCTCAAAAAAAACAAAACAAAACAGAACCACAACAACAAAAAAACCAGCAGTGGCTCCTCTACCTTGTTTATTGCTGTGGCCCAAGGGAGTGAGAGTCGCAGGACGCAGGGAAAGGTCACTGGGAACAGAGGCACGGGGAGGCGTCTGTTGGGTGGAGTGTCCGGAACACGTGGCAGGGGGAGACCAGGACTGGGTTAGAGGAGCAAAACACAGAACCTTAAGGGTGTCTGTGGGCTCCCTTTTCAGGCGGCAGGAGGAAGGCCTCTGTGTCCTGCCCAGCCTGGTGCCCAGGAACAGGACCTGGTGACAAAGGCTTCCTTCTCCCCACCTCCAGGGGTCTGGAGTCACAACTCTCCTTGGGGAGGAGGTGACGAGAGCCAGCCCTGCTTCTTGAGGCTCACATCTCAGTTCCTTGACACCAGTGTCCGGCCTAGAAACCCGTGAGACACTTGCTTAAGGCCAGGACCACGCCTGCCGCAGGCACAAAGCCTGGCCCCGAACAGGAACGCCCTGGTAAGGAGGAGATTAATGAGCAAATCTGTTTTGTCATCTTTAAAATTATTGGCCAGGGCGTGGCACAGTGGCTCACGCCTGCAATCCCAACACTTTGGGAGGCTGAGGCGGAGTTAGAGACCAGCCTGGGCCATATGGCGAAACCCCATCTCTACCAAAACAAACAATGACGAAATATATATATATATTAGCTGGGTGTGGTGGTGTGTGCCTGAAGTCCGAGGTAGAAAGTTCCCTTGAGGCCTGGAGTTCGCAAGGCTGCAGTGAGTCGCGATCTTGCCACTGCACTCCAGCCTGGGCGACAGACCCTGTCTCAAAAAGTAAATACATAGCTCGGGCTCAGTGGCTCATGCCTATAATCCCAACAGTTTGGGAGGCCGAGGTGGGCGGATCACTTAAGCTCAGGAGTTCAAGACCAGCCTGGCCAACACGGTGAAACTCCATCTTTACTAAAAATACAAAAAAATTAGCTGGGTGTTGTGGTGCACGCCTGTAATCCCAGCTACTCGGGAGGCTGAGGTATAAGAATTGCTTGAACCTAGAAGGCGGAGGTTTCAGTGAGCCGAGATTATGCCACTGCATTCCAGCATGGGCGTCAGAGCGAGACTCCATCTCACAAAAAATGAAAAAAAAAACCAAAACAGTAAATATATTAAATAATTGGCTAGGCTCAGTGGCTCACACCTGTAATCCCAGCACTTTGGGAGGCCGAGGTGGGCAGATCACAAGGTCAGGCGATCGAGACCATCCTGGCTAACACGGTGAAACCCCGTGTCTACTAAAAATACAAAAAATTGCCCGGGTGTGGTGGCTCACGCTTGTAATCCCAGCACTTTGGGAGGCCGAGGCGGGCGGATCATGAGGTCAGGAGTTTGAGACCAGCCTGGCCAACACAGTGAAACTTTGTCTCTACTAAAAATACAAAAATTAGCTGGGCGTGGTGGCAGGCACCTGTAATCCCAGCTACCTGGGAGGCTGAGGCAGGAGAATCACTTGAACCCGGGAGGCGGAGGTTGCAGTGAGCCAAGATCATGTCACTGCACTTCAGCCAGGGCGACAGAGCAAGAGACCACCTCAAAAAAAAAAAAATTAGAAAAAAAAGAAAGAAAGAAAAGAAAAAGAAAAAAAAGGAAAAAAAAAAATAATAATAATAATTAGGGCTGCGCCTGGTGGCTCACGCCTATAATCCCAGCACTTTGGGAGGCTGAGACAGGTGGATCACAAGGTTAAGAATTCGAGACCAGCCTGGCCAACATGGTGAAACCCCATCTCTACTAAGAATACAAAAATTAGCCAGCCATGGTGTTGCATGCCTGTAATCCCAACTATTCGGGAGGCTGAGGCAGAATTGCTTGAACCCGGGAGGCAGAGGTTGCAGTGGGCCGAGATGGTGCCACTACACTCCAGCCTGGGCAACAGAGCAAGACTCCGTCTCAAAAAAATAAAAAATAAATAAATAAATAAATAAAATAAAATAATTAATGTTGTCAAGGCAGTATACATTATAAATCAAAGGCTGCTTGCTATAAGGAAGAGAACAAAGCTATCCCTGCCCACCCTTCACACCCTGCTCCTACTCTCCAGAGACAGCTACTTCCAACTCTTTTAGCTGTTAGCTGTTTCTTCTAGTATTTATCTCCAAATGTTTGAATCATAAGCATAACTACTATTTTGTTTTGTTTTGTTTGTTTTGTTTTTGAGACAGAGTCTCACTCTGTCACCCAGGCTAGAGTGCAATGGTGCGATCTCTGCTCACTGCAACCTCCGCCTCCTGTGCTCAAGAGATTCTCCTGACTCAGCCTCCCAAGTAGCTGGGATTATAGGTGCCTGCCAAAACGCTCAGCTAATTTCTGTATTTTTAGTAGAGACAGGGTTTCGCCATGTTGGCCAGGCCGGTCCCGAACTCCTGACCTCAGGGGATCCGCCCGCCTCGGCCTCCCATAGTGCTGGGATTACAGGCATGCGCCCCTGCGCCCGGCCAGAAACAGAAAAACTCGTAGCTGCAGCACTACTGACCTTTGCCATCCTGTGCACTGAGAATCTTTAGTAGCATCCCTGGCCTTCACCCATGTGTGTACGCAGAACAGTAGCCCCCCAAAGATGTTCGCCCCCAATCCCTGCAACCTGTGAATATTTATGCCACATAGTAGGAGGGAATTAGGCTGTAGATAAAATGGTTGATTAGAGGCAGGGTCTCACTATGTTGCCCAGGCTGATGTCTAGTGGCTATTCACAGGCGTGATCCCACTACTGATCACAGGAGTTTTGACCTGCTCTCTTTCCAAACTGGCCCAGTTCACCCCTCCTGAGGCAACCTGGTGGTCCCCTGCTCCCAGGAGGTCACCAAGTCGATGCCAAACTTAGTGCAGACACCTGACTGACACAGCCCACTATATCCTCAGAACTCCTGGACTGACACAATCCTCCTGCCTCGGCCTCCCGAGTAGCTGAGACTACACGTGCGCACCACCACACCAGGGAATATAAAATTAAGGTTGCTAATTAGCTGGCTTTATTTTATTTTATTTGAAACAGAGTCTTGCTCTGTCACCCAGGCTGGAGTACAGTGGCATGATCTCCGCTCACTACAACCTCTGCCTCCCGGGTTCAAAGCGATTCTCCTGCCTTAGGTTCCCAAGTAGCTGGAATTATAGGCGCCCACCACCATGCCCGGCTAATTTTTGTATTTTTAGTAGAGATGGGGTTTCACCATGTTGGCCAGGCTGGCCTCGAACTCTTGACCTCCAGTGATCTGCCTGCCTCAGCCTCCCAAAGTGCTGAGATTACAGGCCTGAGCCACCACATCAGGCCAGCTGGCTTTAATAGGAGATTAGCGGCTGGGCGTGGTGGCTCACGCCTGTAATCCCAGCACTTTGGGAGGCCAATGCAGGCGGATCACCTGAGGTCAGAAGTTCAAGACCAGCCTGACCAACATGGAGAAACCCCGTCTCCACTAAAAATACAAAATTAGCCGGGCGTGGTGGCGCATGCCTGTAATCCCAGCTACTGAGGAGGCTGAGGCAGGAGAATTGCTCGAACCGGGAGGCGGAGTTTGCAGTGAGCCGAGATTGTGCCATTGCACTCCAGCCTGGACAACAAGAGCGAAACTCCACCTAAAAAAAAAAAAGCTGGGCGGGGTGGCTCACGCCTGTAATCCCAGCACTTTGGGAGGCCGAGGCGGGTGGATCATGAGGGCAGGAGATGGAGACCATCCTGGCTAACACGGTGAAACCCTGTCTCTACTAAAAATACAAAAAGAAATTAGCCGGGTGTTGTGGCGGGTGCCTGTAGTCCCAGCTACTCGGGAGGCTGAGGCAGGAGAATTGCTTGAACCTGGGAAGTGGAGGTTGCAGTGAGCCAAGACTGTGCCACTGCACTTCAGCCTGGGCGACAGAGACTCCATCTCAAAGAAAAAAAAAAGATTGGACCACTGGCCTCCCCCAGAGTCAACTCTGAAAGACAGAAAGCAGCCATGAGCCAAGGAGTTCGGGCAGCCTCTAACAGCTGGAAAAGGCAAGGAAGCAGATTCTCCCCTGGAGCCTCCAAATAGGAATGCAGTGATACTGACACCCTGATTTTAGCTCAGTGTGACCCACGTTAGAGTCTGGACTCCAGAACTAAAGATAATACATTTGTGTGTTTTAAGCCAAGTTTGTGGCCTTTTTTTTTTTTTTTTTTTTTGAGATGGAGTCTCACTCTGTTGCCCATGCTGGAATGCAGTGGCGCAATCTTGGCTCACTGCAAGCTCCACCTCCCGGGTTCACACCATTCTCCTACCTCAGCCTCCGGAGTAGGTGGGACTACAGGCGCCCGCCACCACACCAGGCTAATTTCTTTTTGTATTTTTAGTAGACATGGGGTTTCACCGCGTTAGTCATGATGGTCTTGATCTCCTGACCTCGTGATCCACCTGCCTCAGCCTCACAAAGTGCCAATTTCAAGCTGGGATTACAGGTGTGAGCCACCGCGCCCAGCCAAGATGTTGAACTTCTTACATCCTTACAATAACTTTTCCCAGTTTTCTTTTTTTTTTTTTGAGATGGAGTCTCACTCTGTGGCCCAGGTTGGAGTGCAGGGGCGCAATCTCTGCTCATTGAAACCTCTGCCTCCTGGGATCAAGCGTTTCTCGTGCCTCAGCCTCCCGAGAAGCTGTGACTACAGGCGCATGTCACCACGCCCCGTTAATTTTTGTGTGTTTTGGCCAGGCACAGTGGCTCATGCCTGTAATCCCAGCACTTTGGGAGGCCAAGGCAGGTGGATCAAGAGGTCAGGAGATCGAGACCATCCTGGCGAACATGGTGAAATCCTGTCTCTACTAAAAATAAAAAAAAAAAATTAGCAGGGCGTGGTGGCGGGTGCCTGTAGTCCCAGCTACTCAGGAGGCTGAGGCAGGAGAATGGCGTGAACCCGGGAGGCGGAGCTTGCAGTGAGCCGAGATCACGCCACTGCACTCTAGTCGTGTGTGTTTTTTTTTTTTTTTTTGAGATGGAGTCTCGCTCTGTTGCCAAGGCTGGAGTGCAGTGGCGTGATTGTCGTGATCTCGGCTCACTGCAACCTCTGCCTCACGGTTTCAAGAGATTCTACTGCCTCAGGCTGCCGAGTAGCTGGGACTACAGGCACATGTCACCACGCCCGGCTAATTTTTGTATTTTTAGTAGAGATGGGGTTTCACCATTTTGGTCAGGCTTGTCTCCAATTCCTGACCTCAGGTGATCCCAACCTCCCAAAGTGCTGGGATTACAGGCGTGAGCCACCACGCCCGGCCTAAAAATTTTTTTTGTGGAGATGGAGCCTGACTGTGTAGGCCAGGCTGGTCTCAAATTCCCAGGCTCCAGCAATCCGGGCCACCCAGCCTCCCAAACTGCTGGGATTACAGGCTTGAGCCACTGTGCCTGACAGCTTTTTTCAAGTGGCAAAATTGGGGTTTCAAGCCCATTTGTGTCTGTTTCTAAAGTCCAAGTTCACTGGGCATGGATCACTTGAGCCCAGGAGGTTGAGGCCTCAGTGTGCTGTGATCGTACCACTGTGTTACAGCAAGAGCAAGACCCGGTCTCAAATAAAGTAAGTAAAGTTCAGGCTCATTGATACAATTTACTGCCTCTTTTCCAGTAGGGTTTAGATCTGGACCTGCCTTCTGGATGGCAGAGGGAGGGAGGTCCTGAGTGTGCCTGGCCCTCAAGGGTAGGGAGGAGGCCCTGTTACTGCAGCATCCATCCAAACACGTCCTGTGCTGGGCCCAGCGTAAAGAGGACAGGTTCCGTTCGTGCCTTCCAGAGGCCCCTTCTGGGCAGGCCTGGCGAGACTGCCCTGGGCTGCGAGATGGACGTCACCACGTGCTGCCTTTCACGTTGTCTTTCATGTAGGGATTTAAACAGGGCATTAGGGAAGTGGAGGCGGGACCACGCTTGTGTGTGTTCCAAATACCAGAGACCGGTTTCCTAATAAGGTGGCCAGATTTAGCAAATACAAATACGGCAGGTCCACTTAAATGTCAATTTCAGATAAGGAGCAGCATTTTAGTATGAGCCTAGCCCATCAATATTTGGGCTATACTTACACTAAGACATGACCCCTTGTTCATCTGAGATGCAAACCAGTTGTGCCGTGTTTCATCTGACAACGCCAGTTCGTGGAGCCCGGCGAGTGTTGACGTGACACGCGTGGCCCAGAGGAGCCCGGGGCTGGCCGCGTGGCCGCGCGGACCTTCGAGCGGTCGGCTCATGGTAGAGCGGCCTCTATCAGGGCCACCGCTCTAGCCGGCGCCGCGCTGAGGCGGAAGTCGCGACGCGCACTTGCGCCGGGCGGGCCCGTTGCTGGGTGGGGCGGTGACGTTTGCCCGGAAGGGGCGGGCCCGCCGGGAGCCAGGCCGCGCGGCGCCGCGCCGGCCGAGAGGGGGCCGGATCCCGGACCATGGCGGCGGCGGGGGGCGCCGAGGGGCGGCGCGCGGCCCTGGAGGCGGCGGCGGCGGCAGCTCCTGAGCGGGGAGGCGGGAGCTGCGTGCTGTGCTGCGGAGACCTGGAGGCCACGGCGCTGGGCCGCTGCGACCACCCGGTGTGCTACCGCTGCTCTACCAAGATGCGGGTGCTCTGCGAGCAGCGCTACTGCGCCGTGTGCCGCGAGGAGCTGCGCCAGGTGCGGGGCGCCGGGGGCGCGGCCCGGGGGCAGCGGGGCTCCCGGCGACCGGATGGGGACTTTGCCTCACTGAGGTCCGGCCGTGGGCCCGGCGGCGCCGGCTTCCGAGAGAGGCCTGGTGGGGCCACCCAGGGCGGGGTCCCGGCCGTGCGGCTGACGGCGGGGCGTTGGGGCTTGGAGGCCGGAGGCGGCCGAGCGGGTTGCAGGAGGGGGCAAGCCCTGTGGGGACAGCCTGGGGACTTCCCCCGTGTCCCGGGGGTTCCTGCCGGGCCTCAGGAAGGGTCCTGATCAGATGGAGAACTCGGTGACCTGCTCGTCTTCAGGAGTTTATTTTCCAGGGTCCTCCATTCGAGGAAACAAGGCAAGGGGGACTCTGCGGAGGCCATCCGTCCTGGAAGCAGGGCGTCAAACTCTGGGCATTCTCAGCCCAGCTGTGTTTCTGGGCCCCCATTGGATGACCCTGAGCAAACTCCTTCCGAGACTGACGTTTTCCTCTGTGGAGTGGAGGTGACACTAGCCTCGGAAGGAGACCTGCCCGTCGGAGGGGAAGGCCCCCTCGCGCTTCTTGGCGGGAAGGGAGAAAAGTGTTAGGAAGTTGTCCTCCTCCTCGCCGCCGCCCCCCGCCTTTGGCGCTCATCTCCGCAGTGAATGGGAGACGTTTTTGACTGTACAGACTTGGAAGCCGTGGAGGGGTCAGAGGGTACCATGCAGCGTTCCTCCACCCTCACTGCACTGCCAGCTGCTGGCTGTGGGCACCTGGCTGGAGCCCGTTGGTTTGCTGAGCTTAGAGATTTGTTTGCTTCCAGCATTGTGAAATTCCCCCGGTTTGTTCATAGAAGGCTTCGGCTGGTGACATCTGCCAGGAATCTAACTTTCTTCTCCCCAGAAGTGATGCAGAGCAGTATTGAGGTGTAGGTTCTTTCTTTTTTTCCTTTTCTTTCTTTAAGTAGACGTTTACATCAAAGGAGTTGAAGAGATGCTGCAATTCTCTGAGCAATTTGTGGGCTTATAGTCTGTGCCCTTTTTGGAAAAAGACATTTGGAGATTCTATCAGTCTGTCATGTGACAGGAGGAGGCCGACCCAGACCCCGGGGAGATCTGGGGTGCAGGAACAGTCACAGAGGACCTTGGCCCGTGGCTTCCTCAGGGCGCTTCCTGGCTTTGCCAGGGCCTGCCTTGCCAGCCAGTCCTGCATAGCATGACCTCACTCTCCAACAGCTAGGTTTCCCAGCACACCTGTAGCTTCCTTCCGGAAAGAAGACGCTAAGGAGTTCTTGGCACGTGAGGTCCCGACCCAGGCTGCAGGTCTGATGCAAGACATGAGTGAACATCTGCGTATGCTTACTGTGGCAGCCTCTGCCCGCTCTCATTCCTTGTAGGCCCCACGCCCTCCAGGAGCTCTGTGGCTGGGGGCTGCGGACATGAGCTGTCAGCCGGGGTGTGGTTTGGCACTGGGTGCCCCCAGCCGGCTTCCTCTAGGGCCTACCCCGCCTTACTGGGCTGAAGGAGGGGCTCCTGGAAAGTTTGCTGTTTGCTGGTCTCCTCTCCTTTGCATTCGTTCTATTTTCTTCCCATCTTGAGCTTGCCGCCTCACTCTAGTCTCCTTTTTCCTTACTGAGTTCAGCACCATCCCCTGAATATATTCTGTGTCCCATGCGTGCTCAGGAATTCCCACTGCAACCCTCAACTCCTGAACCCTGGCGTTGCCTTGGCCTCCCTTATGGGACTAAGGTTTTGCGAAAATTGTGAGGAAAGTGTCCAGGATGCCGTGTGGAATCGGCTGGCTCCATGTGCTTGTTAGTTCCACACACCTGGACCCAGGCCTTCCCTGTGGAGGCTGCAGCTGCTGCTCAGGCCAGGAGCCAGATGGGCCTGACCCCTGGCAGGTGCTCAGGGTGGAAGCCGAGGCAGGCTCCCCTCCGTGGGAGGTGGGGGCGCTGGTCTTGGCCATGGCTGACAGAGGTCCTGGGGTGGTGGAGCCCCACGTTCTGGGCCTCTTTCCTGGCTGCGTCTTTCTCAAGGGCCGGTTCCTGCTGTTTGCATCTTGCTCTCCAGCTTGCTCTGGTCCCTGGTGTTACTGCAGGAGTCCTGATGAGGCTGCAAGCCCCCCAGGGCAGCCCACCTGCACCTTACAGGCAGGCAGTGGGAGGGGGCGCAGAGGGCCAGCCCACAGTTACCCAAGGTCCCAGGTCAGGAGGGTGACATGCTGGCTTGGGTCATGCTTTCCTACTCCTACTGCTCCCCCTCCGCCCTGCTCCCGTCCCCCGTGGCCCTGGCCCTATCTGTAAAATGCTCCCTGCTTCTGCTGTCCCCCCACCCCGCTCCCGTCCCCCATGGCCCTGGCCCTCTGTAAGATGCTCCCTGCTGCTGCTGTCCCCATCTGGGCTCCTTGGAGGTCTAGACTCTCTAGATGGCCCTGGGAGCCAACCCCAGGGTCCCCCTCCCCACGTGTGGGCAGGCCCTCACCGCTGTCCTTTTGTGTGCCCATGACATGCTGGGGAGTGTAGAGCAGCAAGGCCCCAGGCAGACACCACACCTGTCCCTGTGGGGGGTCTTGGGGGCCTCCTGTTCCTAAGCAGGCCTCACCCCATTTGCCTCTTGCTCTCCTTGGGGCCTAGCTTGGCCGTCTCCAGGGCTCACGTAGAGTGCCCTTCCCCTCATCATTTGCTGCATAGCCCATCCCCAAGCCTCTCCCCATGGGTTCTGTACTTCTGTCCTCAGACACGTGACCCTCTCCTGCTGGGGCGACCTAGACCTGTTGTCTCCCTCTGTAGCCCCAGCCATCTCCCCCCTGCCCCCACGTCCCAACCCAGCCATTTCCCTCCAGCCACCAAGTCCCACCCCAGGCATCTCCCCCAGGCCCCCAAGTCCCCTACCCATAGCCATCTTCCCCTGGCCTCCATGTCCCCTACGTCCCCTACTCCCAGCCTGGCTGTGCTGGAACCATCAGGCGGGGGAGGGTCTTGCTGTTTGGCTCCTTAGTGGACCGTGCCTGACTCCACCCTGGCCACTGTGCTGCGGGGCGCAGCCTTGTCCAGCCCCCTCCTCACCCTCAGGGAGGGCGATGCTGGCCATGCCAGGCTGCACTGCTGTCCCACTGCCCGCTCCTGAGGTCTGGGCAGCCAGTCCTGGTCTCCCTGCCTGTCTGAGGATGGGCAGCCTCAGGCCCCCACTATCAGGTGGTATTTCTCACTCCGGCCCCAAACCTGCACGCCCTCCTGCTCCAGTGATTGTGGCCTTGGGCCCACCTTGCTCACAGCCATTGTTCTTTCACAAGCCTCTTCCTGTTCCTGAGCCCACCCAGTGTCTCCTTTCCCCTGTCTCGTTGCTCCGCTTAGGTGCCCTGCCTAGGTGACCCCTCCCAGCTGTTCAGGAGGGACGAATACTCTGGGTCTTGCTACCCCTGGTGCTCGGAGTACCTGCCTTAGCTGCTGTGCAGATGGATGCCCATCTAGACTCCATATGGGGCATGTAGCCCTCCCGTGCTGGCCCACCCTGGGTCCTTCATCTGGGTGCTGTCAGTGCACCTGGGATCCGCCCGGCCTGGCCCTGCCTCTGCCCAGCTCCCCGCAGCTCCTCCACCCCCAGCTGCTCCCTGGCCTCAGAGAGGCTGCCTTGACCGAGTCCGCCAGCCCCACCAGTGCCGTCCCACATAGGTTTCTTGGGACTTGCGATGTGCTAGCATCGCATGGAGCATGGGTGCCCCCAGGCGGCAAGGACAGAGGAGTGTATGTGCTCCTCAGCGGGGCCTGGCCCTGTGCCCGCACACGGGTGGCACTCGGGGGACGCACCAGTGGAGGTTGGCTGCGTGTTAGGGGTGCCTGGGATGCCCCTGTGCCCGCAGTCTGAGTCGCCGCCACCCACGGTGGATGAGGGCGTGCGGCTGAAAGGAGGGGTGCCAAAGTGGGGAGGTGGGGCTGGGGACGCCCCTGGCACGGGTTTCCTCTGGGGAAGGAAGTCGTTTCTCCTCGGAGTCTGATGGGCTTGGATGCTTTTTGGCAGCCTTGGGGCCTCCCTCACAGGCTGCTCGCCTGGCCACCTCACAGGCAGACACTGGCTTCCTCGCCCGCCTGCCTGCTGCTTCGGGAGCTGTGGTGGGGAAGTGGCCCTGTCTGGTTCCCGGGAGTCCAGGTACTCAGCTCCCCGAGGAGGCTCGCGCTCTGCGTCCCAGCAGCACCCTGAGTGGCTCCGCTCAGCTCCCCGAGGAGGCTCGTGCTCTGGGTCCCAGCAGCACCCTGAGTGGCTGCACAGATTGCGCCTGTGAGGGTCGGGCTGGAGAGGCGCCCTTGGGAGTGAGTGGAAGGTAGGGCTGGGTGCCAGCTGCCGCGAGGGCAGCTGCTGTGAAAAGAGGCCGCACAAGGCCCAGGGCCTTTCCCTGTGTTTGGGGTGTGCAGAGAGGCTGCTCCAGGGGAGGGGAGCCAGGGGACAGGTCAGGGTGGTGTGGCCCGCAGTGACTGGCAGCCTTTGTAATGGGGCTCTGGGTGGGGCTGCGACTCCCATCTGAAGACGTCGCGCGTGGGAGGCAGCTGTGATGAAGTGCCCATCTGAGCCCAGCATGTGACGGGGACGCAGAGGCGGCCGAGTTCATCCTGCCCAGCCTTGCCTGATGTGACCAGGGGAGGAAAGGCCTGGGCTGCTGCTCCTGCAGCCCGTACCGCCCACCCCGCCCCTGGTGGAAGCGGCTCCTGTCGGTGGGGTGGGGGCTGAGCTCTCCTGGCGCTCCTGACCCTCCTGGGGAGTCAGATTTAACCACCTGCTCTGGGGGACAGAGACACCCCAGGACCCCCTGAGCACGTGTGGGACTGGCTCTTCCTGCCAAGCCTCAGGTTTCCCAGCTTCACGGCCGTTCCAGCCCGACATTCTCTTTGGCTAAGGGGCTAAGGTAAACTTAACATGACCTTGGCATGACCCTTGCCCGGGTGAGGACGTCCCCCTGCCCTGGATGTGCGCTTGAGGCCTTGAGCTGCTCTAAGGGCCCAGAGCCGAGGCGAGTGACCAGTGCCAGGCTTGGGACAGTGATGGAGCCAGAAGGGGGCTTGACCAACCCAAGGGGTGGGTGGCACCAATCTCTGCTGGCATGGGGGCAGCGAGGGTCCTCCCCAGCAGAGCTTCGTGGAGAGCAGGGGTGCTGAGCTGAGCAGGGATGCCGGGGCCGTCTGTGGAGGGCACAGGGCAGACGGGCAAGTCCTCTGGCAGCCAGCTTTGCAGGTGCCAGAGACCCCTGGGAAGGGGCCCACGCAGAGGCTCTGCAGCGCCTGCTGAGGATGCACGGAGCTGAGGTGGTCGGCTTGAGCCTCGTGCCGTGAAGGCGCCATGGAAACGTGGGGGCGGGGGCGCCGGACAGGGTAGCCGGGCCTTGTCACCTGATGCATCCCCGGCTGGCGGCCATTGGTATTCCCTTAGCAGCTGCTTGGAACACGTTTCTTCTCTGTCCTGGAAAGCTCCGCAGAGCGACAGCTGCTCTGTTCCCCGCAGGGTGGAGCCACCGGGTGAGGGCCCCGGCCGGTGGGGCGTGGCTGCTTAGGGACTGGCCTTGCCGCCCCCTGGTGGAGAGGCCTGGCGTTGTGTCTCTGTCCTCTGCCCCTGACCCTAGGCAAGCGGGTTGGGGTGAGGAGGGGAGGCCTAGGCCAGGGTGCCAGGGGCCGCTGCCTGCTGGGGCCTCCTAGGAGGACCCTTTATGCCTCACTCCTTCTTAGAGGGTCTGTGAGGGCTCCCTTGCCTCTGAGCCTCCGTTGCATCCCAGGTGGGGGTCCCATCCCAGTCCTGCTCACCACCCCTCTGGTTTTTGGCTCTAGGTGGTCTTTGGGAAGAAGCTTCCTGCCTTTGCCACCATCCCCATCCACCAGCTGCAGCATGAGAAGAAATATGATATCTACTTTGCAGATGGAAAGGTGTACGCATTGTACAGGTGAGCAGGGCCTCTCCCTGGGTCCTGGCCTCCCTGTGGTTGTGGCCCTTCACGTCCCACTCTCCTCACAACCGGAGGCACTTCGGGGGCCACCTGGTGCACCAATGCTGGGGCCAGGCACCTGGGTTTCCATCCTGTGACTGGGGAGGCTTACCAGGCCCTCCTGGGGGTAGAGCTGGTGGTTGTGCTGGGGAAAGGCATGCCCAGGTGGTGCAGCACCTGCCTCGGGGGCACCTTGAGGGGCACACGAGGTGTGTGAGCCAGGCCCGTGGCCTGAAAATCCTATAAAGGGTACAGCTGTCCCAGGGCTGGTCTCTCAGAGGAGGGGCAGCTCATGGGCTCAGGGCTAGAGCCAGGCTTCTGACCCAGGCCATGTGCACAGCCATGGCCTTGCATCTGTCCTGGGTCACGGGCCTGGGGCCTGGTGAGTGGCCCTGCTCCCGGCGGTGACACTGAATGTCCTGGGGCCGTGGGCGGCTCTCGGTGTCTTCCTAGGCAGCTGCTGCAGCACGAGTGCCCGCGGTGCCCCGAGCTGCCACCTTTCAGCCTCTTCGGGGACCTGGAGCAGCACATGCGGAGGCAGCATGAGCTCTTCTGCTGCCGTCTGTGCCTCCAGCACCTCCAGGTGTGCCCCCCCAGCGACCCCGGAGAGAGCCTAGGCGGTGGGTGGTGCAAGGGATGTGGCCACACGGCTGGGAGGGGCTTGTCCACCTGCTGCTTCTGGCCCCGGATGGCCCCCTGAGGGTCAGGCTGCACGTGGCAGGGAGGCCTCTGGCTGCTGGCGGGGCCCTCTCCCGCCCCTTGCTGCTCCGCCACTGGCCTGTGGGAAGAGGCAGGAGGCTTGGGGTCCCCCAGCCTGTGCCCAGCCTCCTGTGCCTTGTAGATCTTCACATATGAGCGCAAGTGGTACTCGCGCAAGGACCTGGCCCGGCATCGCATGCAGGGTGACCCCGATGACACGTCGCACCGTGGGCACCCGCTCTGCAAGTTCTGTGACGAGCGCTACCTGGACAATGATGAGCTGCTTAAGCACCTGCGCCGCGACCACTACTTCTGCCACTTCTGCGACTCGGACGGGGCCCAGGACTACTACAGGTGGGCCGGGCAGCAGACAGACAGATGACCCTCCCTCCCCGAGGGCGTGGGGCTAACCGGGCTGCAGCCCTCCTACCGACACCCCATCTCCTGCCAGCGACTATGCCTACCTGCGTGAGCACTTCCGGGAGAAGCACTTTCTGTGTGAGGAAGGCCGCTGCAGCACGGAGCAGTTCACCCACGCCTTCCGCACCGAGATCGACCTCAAGGCCCACAGGACGGCCTGCCACAGTCGCAGCCGCGCCGAGGCACGCCAGAACCGCCACATCGACCTGCAGTTCAGCTACGCGCCACGGCACTCGCGCCGGAACGAGGGTGAGCAGGCACCTGGCCTGGATGCCCCCAGGTGGGGCCGCATGACCATGCCCTGCTCTGGAGCCTGAGATGAGACCGAGCTGTGGGTGCAGGAGCTGACCTCCCACCCTCCGGCCAGGCTGGAGCGCCCGAGCACCCCTTGTGTGCCAGGAGCTCTTGCTCCCTCAGGGTCTCGGGTCTGCTGCCCTGGGTGCCCGGGGCCCTTCCCTGGACCAGGAGGCTTTTACTGAGCATCTGCTGTATGCAGATCCCACCTGGGGCTCGGGGACCCTCCTCCTCTCCCTTCCCACTGCTCCTGTGGCTTGGCACCCAGGTCGTAGAGGCCCGTGGCTGGCGTGGACCCTGCGAGGCTCCTGTGCCACTCCCGGGCTCATGTGCACTGTGGGTAGGAAAGCCTCTGCCATCCAGGCCTGAGCATTGGCCGGGTGTGGCCTTGACGGCAGGCCTGTTCCTCCTATTGTCGTCCCGGGGTCCCGGGAAGTGACGGGCTGTCTGCTGGCCGCAGGGGTCGTTGGTGGCGAAGACTACGAGGAGGTGGACAGGTACAGCCGCCAGGGCCGAGTGGCCCGGGCTGGCACTCGCGGAGCCCAGCAGAGCCGCCGAGGAAGCTGGAGGTACAAAAGGTGGGGGACCTTGCGTGCCGCTGACATTCTCCTGTGGTGACCGTGGCCAGTGGCCAAGCTGGGAGTGGGGATGGGGTCAGGGATTGTGGCCAGAGTTCCTGGGGTCCTGAGTGGCAGTAGGGTCTGTTGAGGGTCCTTGGTGGGCACAAGTTTCTCTCTCTTTTCTCCAGTTCTAGCCACAGCCACAGATCCCAGGGTTGGGGTGGGTGAAAGGGGCCTGTGTCAATTGGGCGGTCACCGCAGCTGTACGAGGAAGCACCGCCCCGGCAGCCCTGCAGGGCAGAGGCATCAGACCCCAGATGATCGCCCCACACACTGGGCCCAGGCACTGCCCGCCTGAGGCATTGGTCTCGGGCCATGCTCAGCCTGAAGGCTGGCCTCCTTGTCCCAGGGAAGAAGAGGACCGAGAAGTAGCAGCTGCTGTCCGGGCCTCCGTGGCCGCACAGCAGCAGGAGGAGGCTCGCAGGAGTGAGGATCAGGAGGAAGGCGGTAGGCCCAAGAAGGAGGAGGCAGCGGCGCGGGGACCTGAGGATCCCCGTGGCCCCCGGCGCTCACCCCGGACTCAGGGCGAAGGCCCAGGTGAGTAAGCCCTACCTGGTGGCAGCTCTGCCCGGGCTAGGAGGTCAGTGGCTAGCTCTTTTTTTTTGTTTGTTTGTTTGTTTGTTTGTTTTTTGTGAGACAGACAGAGTCTCACTCTGTTGCCCAGGCTGGTGCAGTGGCGGAATCTTGGCTCAGTGCAACTTCTGCCTCCCGGGTTCAAGTGATTCTCCTGCCTCAGCCTCCCGAGTAGCTGGGATGACAGGTGCCTGCCCCCACGCCTGGCTTGTTTTTCTATTTTTAGTAGAGATGGGGTTTCACCATGTTGGCCAGGCTGGTCTCAAACTCCTGACCTCAGGTGATCCGCCCACCTCAGCCTCCCAGAGTGCTGGGATTATAGGTGTAAGCCACGATGTCCAGCTTAGTGGCCAGCTCTTGATGGGCACGGTGCCTGGGACGCTCCAGGCCTTCACCTGGGAGGTTGAAGAGCACCCTGCACTGCCAGTCCCCAGAGGGCCTGTCCCCACACCCTGACCTGACCTGGGGGCCTTGTGTTCTTCATAGGCCCCAAGGAAACCTCGACAAATGGTCCTGTAAGCCAAGAAGCCTTCTCGGTGACAGGCCCAGCCGCCCCAGGGTGTGTGGGGGTGCCAGGGTGAGAGTATGGGCGCCCAGGGGTGAATGGTGCATGGTGGGCGGGTGCGGGCAGCCACAGGTGGGTGCCGGGAGGGCAGGTATGGAGCCACGGGGCCTGATAGCTGTTGACCAGCTGTGCTTCCCTGCACCCAGCGCCCTCCCACCACCCAGCCCGAAGCTCAAGGACGAAGACTTCCCCAGCCTCTCTGCCTCCACTTCCTCCTCCTGCTCCACTGCAGCAACCCCGGGCCCTGTGGGGTTGGCGCTGCCGTACGCCATCCCTGCCAGAGGCAGGAGTGCCTTCCAGGAGGAGGACTTCCCCGCCCTGGTGTCCTCGGTGCCCAAGCCTGGCACCGCCCCCACCAGCCTTGTCTCTGCCTGGAACAGCAGCAGTAGCAGCAAGAAGGTAGCACAGCCCCCACTCTCGGCGCAGGCTACCGGCAGCGGCCAGCCCACCAGGAAGGCTGGGAAGGGGAGCAGGGGCGGCAGGAAGGGCGGCCCGCCCTTCACACAGGAGGAGGAGGAGGACGGCGGCCCGGCCCTGCAGGAGCTTCTGAGCACACGCCCCACGGGCTCCGTCTCCTCCACACTGGGGCTGGCCTCCATCCAACCCTCTAAAGTTGGGAAGAAGAAGAAAGTGGGCTCGGAGAAGCCAGGCACCACATTGCCACAGCCCCCGCCCGCTACCTGTCCCCCAGGGGCTTTGCAGGCCCCGGAAGCTCCTGCCAGCAGAGCCGAGGGGCCAGTTGCCGTCGTCGTTAATGGACACATGGAGGGCCCGGCCCCTGCTCGGAGTGCCCCCAAGGAACCCCCTGGGCTCCCAAGGCCCCTGGGGTCCTTCCCCTGCCCCACGCCACAGGAGGACTTCCCAGCGCTCGGCGGCCCCTGCCCACCCCGGATGCCGCCGCCCCCAGGTACGCGTGCTGGCTCAGGCCTGCTCCCTGGGTGTCGGGAGGGGCCGGGGTCAGGCTGGAGCCGCAGGCACAGTCTGCATCTGGGTGGTGGGGACCCCTGTGTGATGCCATCGGCCACCCACATGACCTCCAGCCTCCCGTTAACCACCCTGTGTTCCTTGCCTCTGTGAGACCGGCCCTCATGGCGCCTCCCAGGTCTGAGGGTGCGTGAGCTTGTGTGGGCTGGGCCTGCCACACCAGCAGCAGTGGTGTGGGTGCTGGCCCTGCACCTGCCCTGCAGGGAAGGGGTGGCTGTAGACAGAAGCTGGCCCTGGAGGCCAGGCAGCCCGCAGTCAGCGAGGGTCCTCTCTGGGTCTTGTCCTGCCACCCCTCAGGCTTCAGCGCTGTGGTGCTCCTGAAGGGCACGCCTCCCCCACCCCCGCCGGGCCTGGTGCCCCCAATCAGCAAGCCGCCCCCTGGCTTCTCTGGCCTTCTGCCTAGCCCCCACCCGGCCTGTGTCCCCAGCCCCGCCACCACCACCACCACAAAAGCGTAAGTGTGGGTGAGCTGCCTGGTGTCCACCGGGGGTGGAGGAACGGTACCCTCCCCTTGGGCCACTGTGAAGGCTGAAGCCTCCACCTCCTCTTTACCTTCTGACCCCCAGACCCAGGCTGCTGCCTGCCCCACGGGCGTACCTAGTCCCCGAGAACTTCCGGGAGAGGAACCTTCAGCTCATCCAGTCCATCAGGGACTTCCTGCAGAGCGACGAGGCCCGCTTCAGCGAGTTCAAGAGCCACTCAGGGGAGTTCAGACAGGTCAGGCGGGCCCGGGGAGTCCAGATGGGTCAGGCGGGCCCGGGGCGGGGTGCCAGCCCGTCTTCATCCAGGGCCCGGGCCAGAGGGGATGACTGAGTCCGGCTCTCCGGTGGCAGGGCCTGATCTCCGCAGCCCAGTATTACAAGAGTTGCCGGGACCTGCTGGGGGAGAATTTCCAGAAGGTCTTTAATGAGCTGCTGGTCCTGCTGCCCGACACGGCCAAGCAGCAGGAGCTCCTGTCTGCACACACGGACTTCTGCAACCGCGAGAAGCCTCTGAGCACCAAGTCCAAGAAGAACAAGAAGAGCGCGTGGCAGGCCACCACCCAGCAGGCGGGCCTGGACTGCCGTGTGTGCCCCACCTGCCAGCAGGTGCTCGCGCATGGCGATGCCAGCAGCCACCAGGCGCTGCATGCTGCCCGGGACGACGACTTCCCCTCCCTGCAAGCCATCGCCAGGATCATCACGTAGCTCCCGCCAGCGTGGCCAGAGCTGTCGCACCGTGAGCGTCCTTCCTCCTTCCTCTCCGGGCTGCCAGGCAGCCAGGTAAGGCCTGGTGAGGCCACTTGGCCTCTTGGTTGGCCAGGCCCACCAGGAAGTCACCAGGACAGTCCACCCGCCCTGTTGGCACACTCAAGCGGGAGTCCACCCCTGCCTCAGTGGTGGGCCAGTCTCGGTTTGCATTCTTGTGCTTTTGGGAGGTGCCAGGGGAGGGAAGGGCTGGGATGCTGGGACCTGTTGTTGCTGGCAAAGCCAGAGGTCACAGTGGCCTGATCTGGGCCCTCCCAAAGCTGAGGGCTGCAGCCCGTGGGGCCTCAGAGCTGAAAGCTGCGGCGCCACTGGTGCCAGAGTCAGATGTCACAGATGTGTTGTGTAAACAGTTGGCTGTTTCATGCTTCAAGAATGTTCAGGATTAAAAGCAGACAAGAAATTGTGCTACTTGAAGTTGAATCTTTTTATGAGACAAGCTGAATCTGGGATCTCAAATTGCCTCTGACCTTTTATAAGACAGTTTATCTTCAAATAAATTTATTTTGCAATACCACGCATAGCTGGTGTTCTGAGCTTCTCTGTCTTCTGAGTATACCCTGAAGCCAAATTTAGAAACAGGGTGGAGGGGACATCTGAAATACTGCAGCGAAATAATTTGAGCGTAATTATCTGGATCTGGTGTTTTTGGAGGGAGACCAGACACATACGGTAATCACTTTCTGCTTCCAGCACATAGAAGTAGGAAAAATGCTCTAAACACAGCCACATTCAAATAAGGCCAAGAATATGTCCTCAGATCAGAGAAAGTGGGGAAATTTCTCTAAAGCAAGCAGAAAGGGGCTCCCATGGTGATGAAGAGCCAAGGTCAGTGGCTGCAGAGGGGCTGGGTCAGCCATGTGGCGGCATTGGCACTGCCCCCCTGTAGCTGAGGACTTGGACACTGGGACTCAACTGTGTCCCCTGGGTGATGGCCATGCTGGGGCTGGCTAGGAGATGAGAGGCTGGGTAGGGGCCACCTGCATTCCCCCCACACCAGAGGCGCCTCACAGCTGATGCCCACTTGGCAGGGGATGGTAGGTTCCTAAGCAAGACCAGCTCCACAGAAGAGTAGAGCAGTCTGAGAAATGGGCTGTTTCCTTAAGGTTATTGGAAAGAACTTCTCTTTCCGGGTCTGGCCCTGTCACCCAGGCTGGAGTGCAGTGGTGTGATCTCAGCTCAGTGCAGTCTTGACCTCCTGAGGCTCAGGTGACCCACCTCAGCCTCCTGAGTAGTTGGAACTACAAGTGTGCGCCACCATGCCCAGCTGATATTTTTTGTAGAGAAGGGGTCTTGCTATGTTGCCAAGGCTCGCCTTGACCTCCTGGGCTCCAACAATCCTCCTGCCTCGGCCTCTCAAAGTGCCAGGTTACAGGAATGAGCCACTGTGTTCGGCTAAAAATGACTTTTGTTTTGAGAGGGAGATTCGCTCTTCTTGCCCGGGCTGGAGTGCGAAAGCGTGATCTCGGCTCACCACAACGTCCGCCTCCCGGGTTCAAGCGATTCTGTCTCAGCCTCCCGAGTAGCTGGGACTACAGGCATACGCCACCATGCCTGGCTAATTTTTTGTACTTTTAGTAGAGATGGGGTTTCTCCATGTTGGTCAGGCTGGTCTGGAACTCCCAACCTCAGGTGATCCACCCACCTCGGCCTCCCAAAGTGTTGGGATTACAGGCATGAGCCACCGCCCCTGGCTAAAAAATGACTTCTTAAAGAAGGAGCAAGAGCTAGAGGAATATGGGGCAACACTTGAGTGGCAGTTGCTGTGACAAGCACTGCTGCAAGCTCCACACCCCTCACCACAGTAATTGTCACCCTCCCACGCCACAGGAACCACGATGGCCCTTTTACAGAAGGAGAACCTGAGGCACAGACAGGTTGAGAGACTTACCCAGGATGACTGAGCTAGAAAGGGGCAAAGCCAGCATTTTGGCTCCAGAGATGGTTCTTAGCTGTGCTTCATTCAACCAGGAAGTTATGAAAAAAAAAACAGTTAGAAATCCTAGGAATGAGGTTGGGTGCAGTCGCTCATGCCTGTAATCCTAGCACTTTGGGAGGCTGAGGCAGGTGGATAACCTGAGGTCAAGAGTTCGAGACCAGCCTGGCCAACATGGTGAAACCCCATCTCTACTAAAAATACAAAAAATGAGCCAGGTGTAGTGGTGCATGCCTGTAATCCCAGCTACTTGGGAGGCTGAGACACAAGAATTACTTGAGCCTGGCAGGTGGAGGTTGCAGTGAGCTGAGATCTCACCACTGCACTCCAGTCTGGGTGACAGAGTGAGACTCTGTCTCAAAAATCCTAGGAATGAAAAAGTAATTGAGATAAAAACCCCAATAGATGGGTTCAAAAGTAAACCCAAGCTGGGGGATGTAACTGCAAAAGGTAGCAGTGAGAAGTGGGGAAGGGTGTGGCCATGGAAGGCCATGGAATAGGGACCTGGTACTGGAGGCTTCACGGCAAATCTTACAGGAGTCCCAGGAATAGAAGGTGGCGAGAAGAGGACATGCGAAAAACCGTGACTGCTCACCCCAACACCAAGAGAGAAAACAAACCATCAAGGACCAAACAGGATCAACGATAAGAAATTCTTATCTAGACAAGGATTTACAGAAAAGAACCCTACAAATCATTACCAACAAGATCACTTACAAACAATGCAAATGGTACCATTAGCATCACTCTCATCAGCGTTATAGAATGCTAGAACATAAGAGTGAAATCATCAGGGTCGGACGCGGTGGCTTATGCCTGAAATCCCAGCATTTTAGGAGACCAAGGTGGGAGGATCACTTGAGCTCAGGAGTTCAAGACCAGCCCAAGCAATATAAGGAGACTCCATCTCTACAAAAAACTTTAAAATTAGCTGGGCATGGTGGCACATGCCTGTGGTCCCAGCTACTCAGGAGGCTGAGCAGGGAGGATCACATGAGCCCAGGAGGTGGATGTTGCAGCCAGCCAGAGGTTAAAGTAAGCCAAGATTTTGCCACTGCACTCTAGCCTAGGCATTTATTTATTTATTTATTTATTTATCCCTCAAAAAAACAAACAAAAAAAAAAACAGGTTCACTCTAGGCCCGTTGTGGTGGCTCACGCCTGTAATCCCAGCGCTTTGGGAGGCCGAGGTGGGTGGATCACCTGAGGTCGGGAGTTTGAGACCAGCCTGACCAACATGGAGAAACCTCATCTCTACTAAAAATACAAAATTATCCGGGCATGGTGGTGCATGCCTGTAATCCCAGCTACTTGGGAGGCTGAGGCAGGAGAATCACTTGAACCTGGGAGGCAGAGGTTGCGGTTAGCCGGGATCACGCCATTGCACTCCAGCCTGGGCAATAAGAGTGAAACTCCGTCTTAAAAAAAAAAACAAAAAAAAAACAGGCCGGGCGCTGTGGCTCATGCCTATAATCCCAGCACTTTGAGAGACACCAAGGTGGGTGGATCACTTGAGGTGAGGAGTTTGAGACCAGCCTGGCCACCATGGCAAAACCCTGTCTCTACTAAAAATACAAAAATTAGCCAGGCGTGGTGGCGGGCACCTGTAATCCCAGCTACTCTGGAGGCTGAGGCAGGAGAATTGCTTGAACCCGGGAGGCAGAGGTTGCAGTGAGCCGAGATTGCACGACTGCACTCCAGCTTGGGCGACAGAGTGAACCTCCATCTCAAAAACAAAAACAAAAACAAACAAACAAAAAAAACAAGGGGTCTCGCAGCATTTCAGAGAACCAGACTAGTGGGATACGTGGTGGTGGGGACCTATGGACCTGGAGCCCCCAGAGCCTGGGGGTCAGCCTGGCCTCTACCTCCCCGTCCCCTCCTGTGGGGCCCTGGTGCCTCTCAGATACCAATCCCTGGCACCAGAAGGGAAGGGGTAGAAATGATTCCAGGAGCGTCCAGGTCACAGTCAGCTCAGTTACAGTCTTTATTGTAAAGAAGGTGCAGTCGGAACATGGGACACTGAAAATACACAATCTCTGGTCTTTCAGGAGAGGGAGAGAGTGATATATACAAAAATTGTAAACATGTTCACTTAAATATCCACACAGAATTGGTCTAGGCTACAATGTAACAAGGTTGTCACTCAACTGCATCTCCAGAGGGAGGTGTCTGTCTGATGAAATGTGGCAACCACGTTTGGTGTTGACTTAATGTGAAAAGCCAGCTTTGAGCAATGCATGAGTAGTCAGCTATGCAGAGGGACTCCAACCTGGGACTGGGCCAGGAAGCAGGGTGCAGGTGGAGAGGCAGGGACTGGGCCAGGAAGCCAAGGTAAAGGGAACCACACAGGGGCCATCTTGTGGGGCACGGTGGCCAGCTGGAGCCTCTGGGCCTCTCTCCTGCTGAGGGGCTTGTCTTGCCTGGCACCCAGGCATCCTTCTCCTCTCCTGGCAAGGTCTTACTGAAGGGCTAGGACAGGGCTGGTGTCTTGGCCCACAGCTACCTTGTGCCTTCCTGGCCAGAACCACCCACACCTGGGCAGGGGCCGGGGCCACAGAGAGAGGAGCAGCTTGTGGAGTACTAGGAGGTGAAACCCGAAGACTGGACCATGATCACAACACTGACAGGGCTGGGCTGTTCTAGCAGCCTGTGAGAGAAAGTGGAGAGTGGCTCCGGACGGGACGCACCACCATGACAGAAACGAGACAGTCACTACCCACAGGGACATGGGATGGGAACAGTGGCCAGGATCCCCAGTCTTGGGGCGAGGGTGGTGTCTTTCCCCTGCCCCCGCTTTGTCCTGGGCAGCCCCTGCACCTGATCGTAGAGGGCAGCTGGACCCCCAACCCCAGAGTGAGCAGGTGTGGCCCAAGAGGGGAAAGCCTTCCCCAGGCCAGTCCATTCCAGGCTAGGGACACACGTCCTGGGCAGTGCTATCCCCTTCTCAGGACCTCAGTCCTGGGGCCAGGTGCTGAGGGACTGGGGGAACTTGGCAGGGGCAGCCCAGACACGCGGGTCCACCCCCTCTTGGCCCCGGATGGCGCAAAGCGGCCACCTACTCTGTCCGCGGCACTGAGCTGGAAGGACCCAAGGGAGGTCCCGGAGACCCTGGGGCCTGCGTTGGTGGGGTGGCCTTGGAGCCCTGGTCTGTGCCTGCCAGCCGCTAGTAGGCGGGCACCTGGTACCCTTTGGGGCTGGTGTCCAGGGTCTCGGTGAAGGGCGGGCTCTGGTAGGTCTCGGTGCCCTCCACGCCGCTGCCCACCGGATAGCCGGGGTAGGCCTGGCTCGCCCCGGTGCTCAGCTGTTCGGTGGCGAAGAGTGACATGTCGGTGCCCAGGCGGAACCGCTGCAGGGCCTTCACGGTGAGCGCCACCTGCGCGGGGCGGGGTCAGCGGGGTCAGCCGGGATCAGCCGAGCGCCCGCCCCTTCGCCCCGCCCTCCCGGGCCCCGCACTCACCCAGCTGAGGATGGAGAAGAAGCTGAAGGCGATGGCGGCCCGCGCCGCGTCCCCCGCCTGCGTCGTGGCCGGCCCTGGCGCCGTGCGCTGCCACTGATTGGTGAGGAAGCAGAAGCCCACGAACCACAGGAAGGACCAGAGTCCTGCGAACAGTGCGGCGCGTCAGGGCGACGCTCCACGCGGTGGCCCACGGCGGCCTCGCCCGGAGGAGGAAAGGTCGGTGGGCCCGAGGCTTGGGGCGCCTCGCCTGGGCTCGCCGCGTGGCGCGAGGTCCCGCCTCCCTCTCCTGCGCTGACCCCGCCCACCCGGGAGCGCCAGACCCGTTCCGCGCCCAGGCTCCGCCCAGACCCGGGCCCCGCCTACCTAGAAAGTCCCGCGGCGCTCCCCGTCCAGGCTCCGCCCCCTCCCCGCCCACCCGGGAGGCCCATTGACACTCCCTGCCTCAGTCCCCGCCCCTCGTCACGGCCACGCCCAGCTGGAAACTCCAGCGGTGTTCCCCGCCCAGGCCCCGCCCCCTCCCCGCCCACCCGGAAGGCTCTCCGCGCTCACCGCCCCGGCCCCGCCCACCTGAGAAGCCCAGGTCCAGCAACACCGCGCGCCGGCGGTCGCGGACGCTGCTGATTTGCTGGAAGCGCACATCGAGCAGCAGGAAGGCGGCGCAGGCGAGGAAGGCTCCGAGGCCCAGCGCGACGCCGAAGCGGCAGGCGCCCGCGTTCCCGTTGAACACGCAGCGCAGCTCGGGGCCGCTGTCGGTGTTCACGTAGCCCTCGTTGACGATGGGCCCGAAGACGGCGATGGAGAACACCTGCGTGCGGCGCGGCGCTCAGGGCCCTGCGGCGACCCGACCTCTGCGAGCCCGCCTCGAGCGCCCACGCCCCTGGGCCTGTCCCTGCGTTCCCAGGCCCGTATCTGGGTGGGGGGCGGTGTCACCTCTTTCTTTCCCGAACCCTCGCGTATTTAGTAATTATTGACAACACGGGCCGTTTAGTGAGCATCTACTATGCCCAGACATTGTGTTAAACAGCCACTTTACATGCGTCCCCTCACCAAATCCTCAGAAAGTCCCCGTGGGATCGCCATTGTTCTTATTCTCTTTATAAATGCGGGGGACATTGGGACCCCAACAGGTGAAGTGACTTGTCCGGGATCACATGGCTGACAAAAGCCGGGGTTGATTCAAGCCAGGTACTCTGCACCGCGTGGGCCCGTGGAGTCCCCTCAGAGCCCACTCAAGAGTGTGGGAACAGGAGCCTTCACCTGGGCCCGCGATTCCCAGGCTGGAGCCGGAACGGCGAAGGGGAGGTGAGAGTGCAGCAGGCAGAGCGGGGCGGGAGGGAGGGTATGGAGGCAGCGGAGCTGTTGCTTCCTGCGCGGTTGGGAACTGTCTGGCCTGTTTTCTAGCATGCAAATAGGGTGACGGGCACAGCTCATGCAGTGCTGGGACAGACATGTCCACCCAGCTTCCTGCACGTGGTGGGTACCCGAGGGATGACAGCCCCCACGTGACTGATTATTAATATCACCTGTAAGTGTTTGGGCTGAAAAGATGACACCGTTGACCTCTGAGGTTCCGTCAAACCTCAATGCCTCCTGCCCACCAGTTCCGGGAGACAGGCATGAGGGGGACCGCAGTCATTTTAACCAGCGCTGCACGGGGCAGCCCTGTGTTTCCAAGAAACGACCTCCAGCCTCAACCTCATCCCTTCGCTCCTTTCCCGCTCCAGCTCCGAGAGTGGAGCCAAGGGGGAAGCCGGGACATGCACTTGTCCCCAAGAGTGGGCCACAAGTCGGGACGTGCGCTCGGACCAAAACGCAGCGTCCTGCCTCCCGGTCTGGTCAGAGCCACTCCGCAGGGGAGGCCAAAGCCCCTGCCCCACCGTGGGCACCGCCCTCCTCCAAGACAGGCGCCGAGGTGCGGCTGGCCCAGAGGTTGCCACCTGGACAAAACCCAGAGCTCGGCACCCAACTGCCACCTCCCCTGCCGGAGGGAAGGAGCAGCAGGGCCCTCCCAGGGACGCCCCAGTGGGCTAGGCTGCTCCCAAACCTGCCTTCCACACCGCCGCCAGGAAGCCCTCCCAGCCCAGAGCCTCTCCTCCCTCAACTCACAGCTGGAACTGGGGGCCAGGGGACAGGCTCCCTGCCAAGGAGACCCGAGGGTGTGTGTGCGGGGGAAGGGGAGGCGCTTCTCGGTTCCCGTAGCCCCCTCCTGCCCCTCGGAGAATTCCGTCCCCACCCCGTCCCTGCTTCCAGGTCACGAGAACAGGAAAAACGGAGTAAGGGCTGCGGAAAGGGACTGAAATTAGACCCGGGGAGGAGGTAGGGGTAGAGGCGACCGGCGGTGACCTCTCAAGGTCCCTCTCCGGCGCCGCCGGCCCCTCCTCCGCCCGCAGGTGGGCGCGCCCTGCCCGGTGACGTCAC
Organism: Homo sapiens; assembly: GCF_000001405.40. Taxonomy (NCBI): domain Eukaryota; kingdom Metazoa; phylum Chordata; class Mammalia; order Primates; family Hominidae; genus Homo; species Homo sapiens. The sequence continues at coordinate 56,508 of NW_025791799.1, read as the reverse complement.
CCCAACCTGAGGCCGGCGGGGGAGGGGCCGGCGAGGATGAGAGTGAGTGAGGTCGGGGGGCGAGAAGCAGGGGGCAGGGGGTAGGGGGCAGGGGGCTGGTAGGGGCCTGAAGGTCGCGAGGCAGGGGCGGGAGCGGGGGCCCGGGCAGGGACCACTCACCCAGGACGCGACCCGGAGCAGGGTCTGGGGCCGCCGCGCAAAGCTCACGGGGTCCAGGGCGGCCCCTGCGCGGCCCGCGCCGAAGGAGGCGCCCTCCATGGCCGGCCCGGGCGGGACGCGCGCCCCTGGCGCCTTCTGTCCGCCTGTCCGTCCGGCCGGCCCCGCCCGAGGCCGCTGCCGCTGCCGCTGATGCTGATGCTGATGCTACCAACGCTGCAGCCGCTGCCGCCTCCCGGGAGCGCGCGCCGGCCGCGGCGGGGACGCGCGGGACGGGGCGGGGCCGCGCCCGCGCCCCCCACTGGGTCCATGCGCGCGGGGCCGGGTCCCTCCTCTCCCTCCGCCGCGCCCACCTCCCATCCCCCACCCTCACCTGCCTGCCCCGGTCCCGAGATGGAGACCATCCTCAGGAACCCACCAGCCAGGTCCCCGGGGGCAGGGTGGGGCTCGGGTGCTGGGCGCAGACTTTGCTAGAGCCGGGAGGACAGACAGGAGGAGTCCGCTCCTCTGGGAAGGGCACTTGGGTGAGGGAGTAAAGGGGTAGGAGGTCCACGGGCTGCAGCATCTTCCCCCAACCCACGGGAGAGGGGACCGGCTCCCTGGCCCTGGTCCCAAGAAGACCAGATGGATAACTGGGGTCTTTCTCATGGCCCCCCACTGTGCTCTAGCTGCTATCACAGCTTCTAGCCTCTGGCGGGGAGGATCTGGTGGGAAGAAAGGCGTTGGCCCCAGGAGCACCTGTTGAGGGAGGGGACAGAGCCACCGTGGCCAGCGCCGCTGGGAGTGTTGGTTTCGGTGTCTCCGCTCCTTGCCCGTGGCCAGGTGGTGGTGCTCCCAATGCCCTCCCTACTCCTGGGTCTCCCCAGCGTACTTGCGGCGCCTAGTCTGGAATGGAGGGCAGGGAGCGGCATCAGAGACTAGGAGTCGGGTGGGGGTGGTGCCTGGCTGCCCTGTGTCCCGCTGAGTCCCCTCCACAGACCCCAGCCTTGGGTGCAACAAGGTCCCTCTCCTCATGTTCCTAGCAGGCTGGAAGTTCAGATGACTCCTAGGTTTCTGTCTAGAGCACTGAGATGTCTGCACTGACATTTACAGCGCCAAGCGCTTGACCTGTGTAGTGGCGGAGACTGTTACCACCCTGTACTTCAGATAATAAGCAACCCAGGTCCCTGCTACACGAGCCGGGTGCACAGATGGTGCTGCGTGGCCCAGCCCCCCTGGAGCTCATTCTTCAGCCTTGCTGGGCACAGGTGGGCAGAGCAGGTGTTGCCAGAGGCGCTACTCACTGTGTTCCAAGTCCATCACACTGTGCGTCCGATCACAACCCCTCTCACCTGTTGGCCACAGACCTCCCCTCTGTGTCATTCATTCTCTACTTCATCACTAACATCAGCACCCAGACATGCTGCACTTTCTCCTAAAAGCCAAACACTGTTGACCCCACCTCCCCTCCAGCTGCCTTACGTTACTGCTTCCTTTAGCAGCAAACTCTGCCTGCAACACCCTCCTCTCTCTCCCTCTGACCCGGCAGAATCAGCTCCCACCGCCACCTAAACTCAAGGTTGCCACTGACCTCTCCGTGCCAATCCCAAGGGCAAGTCTGATGCTGCTGTCGACTCATTTATTTCTTTAGTTATTTATTTATTTTTTGAGTTACAGTCGCACTCTGTTACCCAGGCTGGAGTGCAGTGGCGCAATCTTGGCTCACTGCAAGCTTTGCCTCAGGGGCTCAAGTGATTCTCCTACCTCAGCCACTGGAGTAGCTGGGATTCCAGGTGTGCCACCGCACCCAGCTAATTTTTTTTTTTTTTTTTTTTGTATTTTTAGTAGAGACGGGGTTTCGCCATGTTGACCAGGCTGGTCTCGAACTCCTGACTTCAAGTGATCTGCCCACCTTGGTTTCCCAAAGTGCTGGGATTACAGGCGTGAGCCACTATGCCCCTCCTGGAGGTCCTCCTCCCTCATGGGTCCTTCCTCTGTGACCTGTGAGCCTTAGGAGCCCAGGGCGCGATCCTGGGGAGGTCTCTCCCTCTGTGCTAACTCCTTTGGTCTGCGTGTCAACAGCTCTGGAACACCAGCTCAAGCCAGAACTTTTCCTTGCACTAGAGTTCCACTGGCCTGGATGCCTTCAAAAACAGACTCTGGCCTGGCGCAGTGGCTCACGCTTGTAATCTCAGCACCTTGGGAAGCTGAGGTGGGTGGTTCATGAGGTCAGGAGTTCAAGACCAGCCTGGCCAACACAGTGAAACCCTGTCTCTACTAAAAATACAAAAATTAGCAGGGGGTGGTGGTGGGCGCCTGTGATCCCAGCTGCTCGGGAGGCTGAGGCAGGAGAAATTGCTTGAACCCGGGAGATGGAGGTTGCAGTGAGCCGAGACTGCTCCACTGCACTCCAGCCTGGGCGACAGAGCTAGACTCTGTCTCAGAAAAACAAAACAACAACAAAAAGAAAAACAGATTCTAAGGCAAAGTGAAGTTTTATTCAGGAGTGAAACTTTAAGGAAGACAGGGAAAAAGGGAAGGCGGTGGGGGGGGCAGGGGGGCAGGGGAGGGACAGCAGATACAGGCGGTATGTTCCTAAGCTGAACACAGCCTTCCCAGAGGGCCCAGCTGCTTCCTGAGGCACTCACAGGCCTCGGGAAAGGCCAGAGAGAAGCGCGCTGTGTCTGGGCGAGGAAGGGACACCTCCTCTCCTGGCTGCCCCCCATCTCCCCTCTCTTATTTGTGCCACCTGGCCCCTCTGGGCAGCCTCTACAGAAGCCAGCAGCCGCACGGGGCCAATCTGGTGGGGACATAGCAGCTCCCTCCATGGAGGCCTGAGGCGGCCATGCCAAGGTGGGCCTGCGCCCAGGGAAAGGCTGAGACTCCTGGAGGATAGAGGTCCCTGGAGTTTTATGACCACAGGACACACTGTTGCTGGGCTGCTCTGGCTGGGGAGGCCCAAAGGCTGGGTCCCAGTCACCCCCCACCTTGCTGCACTCAGCCTTCTCCATCTCTGACCCACACGGCGGCTCCCAGCAGTCTCCTCGGACTCCATCCTCACCCCATGAGTTCTCTGGCTCTCCCTTTAACGTACCCCGCATCTGTCCCCGCCGTGGGGTGGGTCTTCCTCTTGGTGGTCACTCGGTGACTGCCCCGGCTTCCTCCCCACCCCTCCTGTTCCACCCTTACCTGCCTCATCCCAGCTCAGCAGCCAGAGGACCCTTCAAAGCCACATCACTCCATGCCATCCCCTGGCTCCAAACCCGCCAAGAACTTCCTGTCAGGGGAACTAGGGGTAGAAGCCATGGCTTTGCTGGGGCCTTGGAGACCTCGTGCCGTCTGGCCTCCCAGTACTCCTACATCAGCTACTCTGGCCCCCCTGCCCCAACCAATCAACGTCCTTGCTGTTCCTGGCTCACTCTCACCCTGTGGTCTCTCTCTCCTGAGGAACCAGGACCCCAGCAGGAAATGCAGCTGAGCACAGAGGGATGGAACAAGCCCTGTCTACTGCTTTATTAAGCCCCAGCAGAAAATATACTGAAGCCAGGTTCTCAGTCACTTCAGCGTTTCATTTGGGCTTCAAACTCTGATGAAGTGAGCCCCACGAATCCCCTGTGGACAGGCATGACACAACGCTGGCAGGCATGTGCCAGGCAGGGAGAGGGTAGGATGGCTGGTGGACCCTCAGAAAGACCCGACCTGAGCTTTCCCTGTAGGGACTGAGCAGAGTGGAGAATTGAGCCCCCTAAAGTGAGCAGCACAGAGCCATGGGGGGCAGGGGCATCCCTGGCTGCATAGTGGGAAGGCAATGGCCTGGCCGCCAGGGACAGGCACAGGGATGCCCAGCCAGGCCCGCTGTCTTCCCGTGTGAGGAGTGAGGCGCCAGGGTATGCGGTGGGCAGGAAGCTACATCCTGAATGTCAAGGGGCAGCCCAGGCTGCTCCTCCTTCCCTCCCCTGCAGTTCAGCTGCAGCTCCTTGGGGTCTCCACTGAGGAGGGGGCCAGTGGGTACCTGCTGTGGGCACCTCCACTTCTGCTCCAAACCTAAGAGGGGCAGGGCAGGTCCCCACAGGCAGTGTCCTGGGGACCACCCAACTGAGACACAACAGGCTCTGGCTGTGATGCACTTTAATGAGTGCCCTGCCCCTATCCAACCATGCCTGGCTAGCTGTCCCATGAGCTCTGGCTGACCACCCTCTAGTCACAGGAGCCATCCTTCCAGCCGTCGCGCCAGCGCTCATCCACTTTTGAGCAGTCGAAGTCAGGCTTGCCCAGCTTGCGGTTCACTTCATTGTGCAGGTGGCACAGCCACTGTGTGAAGCATGCCCGGGTGCGGGTGTCTGGGTGGTTCCTGCACAGCCTGTGTAGGGAGAGCAGGTAAAGAATGAGAGGACGCAGCGGCTCCACTGCCCCTGCCAGTTCCCTGTCTGCTGTCAAGGAAGGAGAGCTGGGGCACTGCTGTGAACTACACCTGGGAGTGCCCTTATGCTCCAAGGTACAGGCACTCCCAGAACAGGGCTGACCCTGCAGCTCCCCGGGTGTGATGAACTCCCAGGGCTGCGCAAACACCCACCTGGACAGCTTGGCAAACTCCAACGAGGCCTCAAGGCAACACATTACAGCACAGACCTGGCAATTTTATAAGCTCCTAACACCCAGGAAGCGGCATCCAGTGTCCCTGGCCTCAGGCAGAGTGTGGCCTGGGTGGGGCTGGGCACAGCCTTGTAACTGAAAACTGGACTTGTTTCTTAGCATCTGAGGGCAGGCCCTGGTGCGTCAGTTCAGCAAGAGACTTCATTCTAACTGACCAGCCTTATAGCAACAATGGCGGCTCTACCCTATACATCTGGCCTAGAAACACCTGCAAGGGCCAGTGCTGGCTCTTGGATCCCTCAGTGAGGAAGAGATGGCTCTTGGGAGCAAAAGCAGTGGATTTCCAAGATTTTAAAACCAGAAGTCCTACTCTAGAAGTCAGGCAAAGTGGAGTCTTCCCTAACTTGCGGGAAACCGCCTTCAGTGCCAGACAAGGCAGGGAATCCCTTCCTGGAAGCCCTGTGGCTGTGGCAGGAGCAGTACCCAGCAGCAGATCCCGACAGCTTGGCTTCTGAGACGAGAGGAGGAGGCTCAGATAGCCCCAGTCCTCACCTGTTGGAGGTCCCTGCTCCTCAGCAAACTTCTGCCACCTCTGCATCCGTTTCTCTACGTTCCCCGCTATAACGTCAGCCAGGAGCCCCAGGCCCAGGCTCCAGTGCAAAGCTCTGCTGCGTGCAAACACATCTTACCTTTTTCTTAGGTCTTCAGCACACTCCTCACAGGGGTAAAACTTAGAAAATAAATGTATGAACTGGGCCATGTCTTGCTGCTGTTCTGGGGTGGGCAGGTCGGGGTAGTAGGCGGCCAGGGTGTGGAGGACAGCCCAGCTGTGGCGGCCCAGTTCCTCGCGATCCGGCGGGCAGTCCTCCCTAAACTTGGTGTCCCGCTGCGGAAGCAGGCCGACCGAGAGTGAGTTCATTCTCCGAACAAAGGCGCCCAAAGCTCCCCACTGTACGGCCCAGCCGGTGGCCCACTGGACTCCGGCCAAAGTCCTGCAGACGATCCAACCCACGCGCGGATGAAGGCTGTAAGGCCGGGCCTACCCGGGGGGCAAGGTTCAGGGACAGGCAACCCTGGGAAGCTCTGCCGGGGTACCTGGGCGGGGGCGGGGACAGGGGCTGCGCGGGGCTGGGAGAAATCGGGCAGGGAACTGCACCTTCTGCTGCGTCCGCATCCACGTCTTGAAGTCGACGCAGGCCCGGCACGGCCGCCTCCGGGAGGCGTCCTCGGCGACAGGAGAATCGGAGGTCGGCGCCTGGGCTGGCGTCGAGGCCGAGGCGGCCGCGTCTCTCCGCCCCGCGCCCCGGCCCCGCGCGTCGGTCGCCAGGTCGTCCATCATCTCGGAGCGCGCGCCCCCCGGCAGGAAGAAGAGGTTCCCGCCGTGGAAGCGGCCCCGCTCGCCGGGCGCCGCCATGTTGCCCGCGCAAGGCCTGCCGGGTCAGCTCGGCCTCCAGATGAGCCTCCAGGTCAGCCTCCAGGCCAGCGCGCGGCCACAGGAGCCGGAGGCGCGCGCCGTGCTCGCGGGGGCCGGGCCCGAGCCGGGGCTGGGGGCAGAGTCGGGGGCGGTGCCTGCTTGCGGGCCCGTGTGGAGGCGGAGCCAGAGGCCGCGGCGCTGGCCGGGCCCGAGGACAGGGGCGGGGACGGAGCAGGAGGGTCGGACCCTGCTGGCGCCCTCAGGCGTCGATCCGCGGCGCACGCAGGGGTTGCGCCGTCCGTGGCGGCCGTCCCGCTTTCTCCAGTAAAAGAGCAGTGTGTGGCGCAAGGTGCGCCTCGGCCGCGCTGTGGACCCGAGCTGACACCCAGGCAAAGTCCGTGTTGCGGCCCGCGACGTCCCCATCGCTCCGTTCTGAGTGTCCTGCGTGCCTGCGGCCAGGCTTTGTGCCCTCCGCTGAGGGGCGCGTCCACCCGCTGGCTGCCAAGCGCTCTCTCAACGCGGGCCGGGCGTGACCGCACAGATTGCGGCGCGCGCTAGGGTCCTGGGCTCTTGTCCCCTCCCTGGCGCCATGGCAACGGGCGTCTGGCAACGCAGGGCGCGGCGCGGCCGCAGAGGGTTGGCGCGTGCCTTGGGCTCCCTGGCGCCCCTCGCCGGCTGTCGCGGATCCTAGAGCCTGGGATGAGGGGTCGGGCTCCCGGTTGGAGCGGCCTCTGGGATTCCTGTGCCTCCTTGCGTTCATTTATCCATTCCGCTATTATTTGCGCAGTGACCGCTCTGTTCCAAGCGCTGTTCCAAGTGCTGGGCAGAGCAGGGAACACAATTCTGTTCCCTGACCTTCTCTGTTCATAATCCAGTGGTCAAGACAGGAAAAAAAAACAAGGACTCACACTCATAAATGTTCACGTACAAACTGGTGGGTCCATGCAAGGGTGTAGTAAATCTGGAAGGCCTCCTTGAGGAGGTGACCCTTTCTGAAGGATGAGGAATCAGCTGAGGAGCGCCTTCGAGACCAAGCCCAAGGTGGCAGGGTCTTGGCATTTTGCAGGAACAAAAACGCCAGTGGGACGCTAGGGAGGGTTGTAAGGTGGGAGGGGAGATCCAGGGACGGACAGGGGCCCACCAAAGACTTGGTCGGCAGCTTCGGGGATTGGGAATTTATTATAACGGTAGGAGGGAAGATGCTAGACAGTTTTGGGCAAGGTTACCCAATCTGATCCCATTTCAGTTTGCTGCAGATTCCGCTGGCTATCATATGGGGAGTGGATTTCTTTTTTTTTTTTGAGACAGGGTCTTGTTCCGTTACCCAGGGTGGAGTGCAGTGGCGCGATCTTGTTCACTGCAGCCGCGACTGCTTAGGCTCAAGTGATCTCCCACCTCAGCCTCCCAAGTAGACTACAGGCACACGCCACCACGCCCAGCTAATTTTTGTATTTTTGGGGGGCACAGATGGAGGTCTCAACATGTTGCCCAGACTGGTCTCGAACTCCTGAGCTCAAGCAATCCCCCTGCCTCGGCCTCCCAAAGTACTTGGATTACAGGTGAGGCACTGTGTCTGTCCTTGGAGTGGATTTTGTAGGGGCAAGTGAGGAGCATACAGATGGAGGGTGGGGTGTACTATTCAGGCAAGAAAAGAGGGTAGGGGAGGAAAAAGTGGAAACCATGCAGGGCTGATGGGGTGTGGGGCAGGAGCTGTCAGCTGGGGTAGGCAGGTGGCCTCAGAATCCCTCTAGGCCTCTGCTTGTGAATAAATCCTCCCCAGCTTCTCCTGTCTTCCAGGGGAGCAAGGTCTCCCCTGGGTTCACACGCTGGACCCCACCAGGTCAGCTGGGCCCTCAGCTGAGACAGGGAGAAGGTGACAGCTGGCTGGGGGAACCCTGCAAATCAGCCCTATGTGAGCAGGTGTTCATTGCCCATGCCAAGACCAGGGACAGCTTGAGGGCATGAGAGAGAGTGCTGGTGGGACAGACACACAAAGGCCCTTTGTTGCAGCCAGGGCAGCTTCCTGGAGGGATGCCTTAGAGGCTGACTGCTCCCTGAAGGGGCTGGAGTAGGTGCATCCCAACACAGAACTGGTGGCCCCAGCACGAGGAAAAACCACTGTGTGCCAGGGTTGAATGTGGCTTCCGAAGCCCGAACTATAAGGAAGCAGCCAGAGAGGTGGGGCACCTGGGCGAGCCTCTGCCCAGGCCATGTTTGCAGTAAGTCATGGCAAATCGTGAATTGAGAGGTGGTTCTCAAAACAGCCCTAGTGACCACTTCCCTGACCACCACCCCCACCCACCAAATGCCAGTGACTGCACAGATGGGCCCTCTTTCTCCTACCCCAAGTCTCCTCACTGCAGGGGAACCCCTGGGGTGAGCCTGTGAGGTCTGCCCCTCCCCCAGCATGTATAGAACAGCTCACAATAATTACGCATTTAACACACATTTCCTCCTCTATGAGTTGGGGACATTAAGAGACCTTTCCTCCAGCATTAGGATTAAGTCAGACAAAGCACTTAAAGCTGTAAGCACTGAGTCCTTGGTTCTGCACAGAAATCCCCAGGCCAGTTCAAAGTTGTTGGGCGCACCCTGGCAGGGCAATTACCTCACAGGGTAGGGGAATCCAGAGAGGTGGGCAGGACAGGTGGCGCTTTGATTAGCCCTGCCTTCTCCTCCCTCCTCCTGTGGCCAGAGGCAGGCAGGAGGGCCCCAGGCAGCAGTCCCGCCTACCCTTCGCCCCTTCTTCAGTCTTGCACGCCTCCAGGGCTGGAAAGCTCATTCTTCTTCTTCCTCCCAGCAGCTCTGCCTGGAAGTCCCCCAATCCCTGTGCTCCTGCCCCCAGATCGTGGGCTTGGGGGACAGCAAGAAAGCTGCAAAGGACTCAGCTGGGGCGGCTCCACAAGGACCCCACAGGCTTGAGGTGTTGCCAGGATTCTATCCCAGGGGGTTTTCTGGGTCCCCCAGAGCCCTCTCAAGCACGGGGAGGCAGAAGGGTCCTCGCCCATTTCAGGAATCTGCAGCCTGGAAGCCACAGCCATGGCAGGCCCCCGATACCCAGTTTCAGTGCAAGGGGCAGCCCTGGTGCAGATCAAGAGGCTCCAAGTAAGACCTGGCTGGGTCCTTAGTGGCCCCAAGGGATAGGAAGGGGGTGCCTGGACCAGCACCTCCACGGCACTCCCAACTTTTTGTCCCCCAGACGTTTGCCTTCTCTGTGCGCTGGTCAGACGGCAGCGACACCTTCGTGCGCAGGAGTTGGGACGAATTCAGGCAGCTCAAGGTGAGTGACCCTGGGCCACCCTGATGCCGCGGTGGCGGCTTCCCCACGCGGCTGCCTCCCACTGGACTGCCTCCCATCAGTGACTCCCACTGGAGGCCCTTCGTCCCTGCTGAAGCTCCCAGCCCCTGCCATCCGGGTGAGGGACCCCGCCCTCTCAAGGGTGCACAGTGGGCTCTGGAAGACCAATGCCCTGGTTCCCGCCCTCAGAAGACCCTCAAGGAGACCTTCCCGGTGGAGGCGGGCCTGCTGCGGAGATCTGACCGCGTTCTCCCAAAGCTTCTCGGTCAGGCCAGCCTGGGTACGGGAGCGGGGAAGGCGGTGGCTTGCCTGGGGGCGCCAGGGACCAGTGAAGCCCAAAGCGGCGTATCACAGTACGTTTTTGTGGTGCCTTAAGATGCACCACTGTTGGGACGCGTGGGGCGCACGAGCCGCGGCCTGGCGCGCCTGCAGCTGTTGGAAACCTATTCTCGGAGGCTGCTGGCGACTGCAGAGCGCGTGGCACGGAGCCCGACGATCACTGGCTTCTTCGCACCGCAACCCCTGGACCTGGAGCCCGCGCTGCCACCCGGCAGGTGCCTGACTCGCCCCAAACTCCCAGCATGCAGCGGCGTTTGGAGCTGGGAGAGGTCCAGGGTGGGGGGGAACAGCCAGCGAATAGGGGCAGAGAGTGGGAGGCTGGCGGTCTTGCCGGGGTGGCGCCCCCAGTTTCACCCTCCCCATCCGCCTACCTCTCACTCGTACGGGCTGCCCTTCCCAGCCGGGTGATCCTGCCCACCCCAGAGGAGCAGCCTCTTTCTCGCGCTGCGGGCCGCCTCTCCATCCACAGTCTGGAGGCTCAGAGCCTGCGCTGCCTGCAGCCCTTCTGTACCCAGGACACGCGGGATAGGCCTTTTCAGGCGCAGGCCCAGGAGAGCCTGGACGTGCTGCTGCGGCACCCCTCAGGTAGGGCCCCCCAAGAACCCAGGGATTTGCTCCTCTGCTCCTGGACCCGAGGGAGCCTCGAGATTTGAGTCCCTGCCCGCTTCTTGCGCACAGGCTGGTGGCTGGTGGAGAACGAAGACCGGCAGACCGCCTGGTTTCCAGCGCCCTACCTGGAGGAGGCGGCCCCGGGCCAAGGCCGGGAGGGAGGCCCGTCCCTAGGGAGCAGCGGTATGCGCCTAACCCCACCCCTCACGCCACCACTGCGGCTTGACCGTGTGGCAAGACTGGGCCAGAAGCACCGCGGGCAGGGCGGGCCAGGAGCCCGTGCTTGGTCTCCGCACCTAGAGGAAGCCCCGAACCGGTCTTAGAGCGGCCCCGCCGTCAGCAGACTCAAGCAAGGAGAATGTGGAGAAGGGTGCGGGCGGGCCTCGTCCTCTGTGGCCCCGCGGTGACTCCAAACACCCACTCCCACCAGGTCCCCAGTTCTGTGCTTCCCGCGCCTACGAGAGCAGCCGCGCAGATGAGCTGTCCGTGCCCGCGGGGGCGCGCGTGCGCGTGTTGGAAACGTCAGACCGCGGCTGGTGGCTATGCAGGTACGCGGGAGCGGGCGTGGGCAGGGCAGGCTAGCCGAGGCGGGCGGGGCCCTAACCACACCCCGCCCCTCGCAGGTACGGCGACCGGGCGGGCCTACTCCCCGCGGTGCTGCTGCGGCCGGAAGGGCTGGGCGCTCTCCTGAGCGGGACGGGGTTCCGTGGAGGAGACGACCCGGCGGGTGAGGCCCGGGGCTTCCCTGAACCCTCCCAGGCCACCGCCCCTCCCCCCACCGTGCCCACCCGACCTTCGCCGGGCGCCATCCAGAGCCGCTGCTGCACCGTCACACGCAGGGCCCTGGAGCGGCGCCCACGGCGCCAGGGCCGCCCTCGAGGGTGCGTGGACTCTGTGCCGCACCCCACGACGGAGCAGTGAGCGCGAGGATCCCGATGAGGGGATGGACCGCGCCATCCCAGGGCTGGGGAGGAGCGGGGAGGGCGGATCTCCCTGGCCAGCAGGGATGGGAGGGGGCCATTTGCTGTTCCTCTGAGTAAAGCTTGTTCTGCATGACCCCCACCGTCTAAGCGTGCGGAGCCGCGGGCTGGATCTCTGCCAGGCCAGGGTGCGGGATGGGCGTGGCAGGGCCGAGACCATCAGCTCCAGTGCCCTTCTGGCTGGCTAGGTAGGGTGTTGGCCAGGGTGGGGGGCTGGACTGCAGTCCAGAGAGACAGAGCCGGCCAGGAGAGCGGCCTTTATGGGTTTTCCAGGGGTTCAGGATGGACTGGAGAGAGGCCGGACCGGCTAGGGCAGTGCGCCTTTATGGGTTTCCCAGGGGGTGGGGGCGGCGGCCGGCACAGGGAGCTTCATGTTGTGCCACAGGAAGTCCAAGAAAGCGGCGGCCTGGAGGGTCCTGCTGAGCCGCTGAAAGTGCCGCTCTGGGGTTGGACAGAGGGAGGTCAGGGGGGTGGTCCACACGCCCACCAGGATCCCCCAACCCCAGGCTGTGCCCACATACCAGTGTAGGGCAGCAGGGCCTCAAGCGCTGCCCGCACGCCTTCGTAGGCCAGCAGCTCCTCGGGGGCCTCTCGCCTCAAGAGCACACCCAGCACGGCCTGGGCCTCGTGGCAGTGCCGCGAGTTGGTGTTCCACGTGACGCAGAAGCGCAGCAGGGCCTCTGTGGGCAACAGGACCCTCATCGTCTTGCCCAGCCAATCTGCCATGACTGGCCCTTGCCCACCGGGCCACCCACCCTGACTGGCCGCCAACCTTTCTGGTCGCGCCGCAGTCGGAGCATGGTGGCTTCCAGCTTCTCGCAGGCCTCAGGGTCCCTCCGGATGGCTGTGGGAGAAGGGAAGGCTGAGCTGGGGAAAGCAGAGCCCAGTGGTCCGAAGACCCAGCCCCTCGCCCCCCGGGGTGGGCACTGACCCTGGATGACAGTCAGCACGGTGTGGGGCCGATCCAGGGAGATGGCCAGGCCCAGCGCCCGCAGGTACCGCTTCTCATGCAGCAGGTTGTCCAGCTCTTGCTGCCTGTGGGGAGGGGAGGAGAGGCCACTGAGGGCCGCTGGCTGGGGCTGCAGGCAGAGCCATCGGAGTCAGCAGGCAGGGAGCCTGGCACTCAGCCTCGTTTTCCCTACAGCACAGAGCAGGGCTGATGCGGGGAGGGGCGCCACTGCCCTGGCCTTACCTGACCACCTGCTCCTCTTGCCTGGCCTGCTCCTCTGCCTGCTCCGCCTCGGTCACATCCTGGGGTTAGACTAGGGTCAGATGGGGCCTCCACTCCACCCCGACTCTTCCCTGCCCTTGGGGCCCACAACCTTCCAGAGGATGACTCGGGAGTCACTGGCCCCAGTGAGGGCGTGGTCGTCCAGCCGGCTGCAGTGCAGCCCCCAGACCTTGTCCTCGTGGGCATCCAGCGTCCGCACACACTCGTTGTTCTTGATGGTCCAGAGCTTCACGAGGCCATCCGAACCGCTGGGTTTGGGGTGGGGAGAGGCTCAGCGTCAGGCAGGTCCCCCCGCCACCCCCCACTCCATCGCTGCCCCACCCCAGCCCACTCACCTGGACAGCAGCTGCGTGCCACGGCTCACAAAGGCCACCTTCAGCACAGAAGCATCGTGCCCCTCAAATGTCTGCAAGGTGGGGGGTAGGGCATGAGATGTCACCAGGGCGGGAAGTGGGGAGGGTCTGGAGCGCCACTTACCTTGAGACAGCTGAAGTCCTGGAGTGCCCAGAGCTTGATGGTGCCATCAGCTGAGGCCGTGGCCAGCACCTGGTCCATGGGAGAGAACTGGACGCACCAGAGGCCACGCCGGTGGCCTGAGAAGACACCCAGCAGCTGGCACTGTGGCAGGGCCCAGAGCTTGGCCGTGCGGTCCTGTGAGCCTGTGGCCAGCAGCTTGTCGTTGGGGGCAATAGCCACGCTGTTGATGTCCTGGCAATGGGAGAAGGTGGTGGCTCAGCAATCCCCCATCTTCCCCCAGCAAGGGCTTGGCCACACCCCCACCCCAGTGGCTATGGAGTCACCTTATCATGGCAGCGCTGAGTGGTCTGGGCCTGCAGGAGGATAGGGCCGTTGTCTGGGGCTGTGTTCTTGGACAGCAAGGCTTTGGGAAGAGGCCACAGCTTCACAGTGCAGTCCTGGCTGCCTGTCACCAGGAAGGACTCCTTCAGCCTGTGACCCAACAGGAGAGGAGGAGACACAGCTGAGCCCCAGCCAGCCCTGATGGCCAGCTCCCCACAGGGCCAGGCTGGGAGCCCACGGTCCAGACCACGGGGCCTGTCCCAGGATGCGGGTTGGCCTGGGTCACCCCCAGGCACCTGTAGGATCAAGCCCTGTCTACATTGTCCACCCGCAGCACCGGGTGGCTCAGCCCTAGCCACAGGACCCTGTGCCTACATGCAGGGGTCACCTCTCCACCTGGGCCTCGTGCAGGGTCATTCTCTCTGCCTAATGCCCTTCCCCCTTTAACCACTTCACCAGGGCTACTTCTGAGGACTGACCCCGAGGCACCTAGGGACTCTCCTGTCCTGTTCTGTTCCACATCTTTGGGCTGGAGCCTCAGAGCAAGCCAAAGCTGCCACTGCCTCCCCAGCTCCCTGAGCGGCAGCCCTGCTGGCAGGCCTGGGCCTCCACCTCCCTGACACCCCTGGGCCCAGCCCCGACTCACTACCTAGAGCAGCAGACGGTGCCCACACTGTGTGTGTGACCGGAACCCTGAGCCACGCACATCACCTGGCCAGCCTTGTTCATTCTCCAGATACGGACGCTCTGATCCTGGGGACAGGGAGTTGAGGAGAGAGGCTGGTCCATGGGCCTACTGCGTGGCCTCCCCGCCTGGTGCCCCTGCCCCTACCTCTCAGGGTGCCTCACCTTGGCACAGCTGGCAAAGAGCCACCCCTTCCGGAACACATCCAGGGCCAGGACGATATCTGAGATGTTGTGGGGAGGTATAGGTCACACAGCAAGACGGGGGAAGGGAAGCAAGCAAGGGACCGAGGCGGCTCCCAGGGTGTCAGGTGGGCTGGCCCCACTCACCCGTGTGGCCGTGGAGGATCTGGCAGGCTGACGTCTGCAGCTCAAACACTTTTAGGCAGGGGCTATTGGAGGCCACGACAACGTGGGAGTCCTCGGGCCCAAGAAACCGGACATCCAAAACCTCCTCACTGTAGCCAGCGAACTGCGGGGTGGCAGGGAGCAGGAGATGTGAGCCAGGACCTGTGTAAGAGGAGGGCTGGTGCCCGCAGCCTCCAGACTGAGCAAGGGCAGGTGTGCACCTGTTTCTGCAGCCGCAGGGAGCGAGCCTCGTAGAGCAACAGGTTGTGGTCGGCGGTGGCGGTGAGGACCACGCCGGCGGTGTGTGCCAGGGTGCAGTGGGTCAGCTCCTGCCCAGGGCCCGGCGGCTGGGCCTGCGTGTACACACACTGCCCAGAAGCTGCCTCCCACACGCGCAGAGTGCCTGTGTGGGTGGGGACAGGGCTGCTGAGACTCTCAGGTCCACAGGCCTTCCCCAGCCCCTACCGCCTGCCCATGTCCCGGCCCAACACACCTTGGTCGCCAGCTGTCAGAAAGTACAGCCCTGGGGACTTCACACCCAGCTGGGACACTGGCTCCTCTGGCAACAGCACAGCAGCCTCCACGCTCTGGAGACGAATTGGGTCACAGGCTGCTATCATGCCCCCTCCCCACCCAACTCAACCAGCCCTGGCCTCCAGGCATCCCCACCTCAAACACAGGCACGGTCCTCGTGGCCTGGCAGCTCTGAAGGTCCCAGATGATACATATCTTGTCACGGCCGGAGCTGAAGGAGCAACGGCAACCTCAGGTCAAGTCTTAGCCTCAGCCCCCACTTTCCAAGCCTCCCCCTCCTACCAGGGCCCACTGCTGACCTGAGCATGGTGTGGCCGTCGGCGCTGAAGGCCAGTGAGGTGACGGCGCTGTAGTGGGCAGTCAGCACAGCCAGGCATGACCGGTCCTGCAGTGACCACACGCGGATGGCGGCATCCGTGGCCGAGGAGAAGAGCAGCAGGCGTGTAGGGTCCGGGTGGAAGGCCACTAGGCTGTGGGCGGACGGGACAGGATGGGTGAGCTGTGCAGCCTGGGTGGTGCCTCTGCCCTCCCCCTCCACCTTCCAACTCACTGCACGACACCGGGCGAGCCTCGGAAGTGGTGTGTCCCGTAGTGCCGCACGATGTCCCAGACGCGCACGGCCCCATCACAGCCACCTGCGGGGAAGCAAGGTGAGGGGGTGGAATGCCCAAAGCCCCTGCATCTGTGCCCACGACCCACCTGCACGGCAGGGCCCTACCTGTGGCTAGCAGAGTGGAGGTGGGGTCGAAGGCCATGGTGGCCACGGGGGCCGTGTGTATCGCCTTCCACAGGCGGGTAACGCTGCCCTCTTGCCAGGCCCACTGAGCCAGCAGCAATGCCCGACTGGCTGTCACCAGCACCTGGGGGAGGGTACAGGTCAGCAGAGGGGCAGCAATACCCTGCTCACATCTTCCTGGACTCAGTCTGGGAGGGAGGCGCTGGAGCGGGTCCCCTCCAGGCCCCGCCCCACATACCTCGTTGTCAGGGCTGAGGTCAAAGGCAGTGATGTCCTCCTGGTCCTCCTAGGAGAAAGAGTGGTGTGCCGAGCACGGTGTGAGTGGGCTGCCCTCTCCACTTGCCCCTCACCCACCCAGGCTGCCCTCACCTGCTCCAGACTCCGCAGCACGGCCCCCGAGGCCACTTCCAGAATGTTGACTCTGGTGCCACAGACGCAGAAGAGGTGCTGGCCAGTCTGGTCCAGCTGGGGACAGAGAGGTCTCAGCCAGGCAACATTCAGCACCCCCCGCGGCCTCTGGCTGCCCGCCCCACTGCCCTTCCCCAGGCTGGTACCTGTGCTTTTCCGCCCTTGTAGAAAGGCTCAATTTTGCGCTCCACAGCATAGCTGGAAGGAGAGCGGGAGGCGAATGAGCACCACCCACCCCCTCAGTCCCCAGGGCCCCGCCCTGTGCTAGGTGCTCCTCTCCAAGTGACCCCAATGGCCCCTGCCCTTGAGTTTCTGGGCAACAGCAGGGACAGGGCATGGGGTGGAACCAGCAGTACTGCAGGGGGCTGTAGCTACCGTCGTCACTGAGAAGTAGAGACCCGCAGCTGGCTGGTGATCCCTGAGGCAGTAGGGGGTGGGCCTGTGTCAGGTGGAGTCAGCCCAACAGCCCAGGGCTTCCAGGGATTCCCCAGTGAGAGCCAGGGGGCTCCTTGGGAACACCCCTGCCGGCGGTGGGTGGCCAGGCCTGGGTAGCCAGCCCAGAGCACATCCTCCCAGTGTCTTCATCCCTGAGGTCTGGCATACCTCTTCCCCTCCCTGACTCCTCTCTCCATCCCCAGGCTTGCCCAGAGCCCGGGTCCCACGAGCAGCTGTCATTTCTGTGACCTCACTCGTGCCCCTTCTCCTTCCTTCTCCACTGCCTCCACCTGGTCCAGCCCATCACAGTCTCTGGCCAGCCACTCTGGCCTCTTCACTGGACCCCCTACCTACCTCTTTTTACTTATTTATTTTTTGAGAAGGGGTCTCGATCTGAGAAGGGGTCTCCAGCCCAGGCTGGAGTGCAGTGGCACGATCTCAGCTCACTGCAAGCTCCACCTCCCGGGTTCACGCCATTCTCCTGCCTCAGCCTCTCCGAGTAGCTGGGACTACAGGTGCCCGCCACTGCGCCCAGCTAATTTTTTGTATTTTTAGTAGAGACGGGGTTTCACCGTGGTCTCAATCTCCTGACCTCGTGATCCGCCCGCTTCGGCCTCCAAAAGCGCTGGGATTACAGGCGTGAGCCACCGCGCCCGGCCTCCCCTACCTACCTCTTAACCCTGCTGCCAGGTACCTTTCAGAACATAACTGAAGATGTCACTGCCCTGCGTTAGCCCCTCCCTTCTGCCCACACACCTCCCAGACCTTGCCCAGAAGAGCCTCTGCCACCCTTGCCTCTGCTTTCTTTCCTTCTCATGGCCCACAGTGCACCCCACTGCTCCTGTCCCAGCCTCTGGGACGGGTTTCCTATCTTCCCCCTATTCCCTGTACGCGGCCTGGGCTTCTCTTCCCAGATGTCAAGGCCTGGCTCACTGCGCTTCTGGAAGCCTGACTGCCAAAACGAAAGCGGCCCCTCAGCCCCCGCACCCAGTTGACCCTCCCACGACGGTGCTGCCAGCCTGGGACTTTCCTTTACCAGTGCTTGGCACAACCAAAGCCCCACAGCCGCCAGTGGAAACGATAATCCCATGAGGCTGCGCTGCCAGGGCGGGGGCACCAGCACTGCTGTTCGGCAAAGGCTTGGGGAGTGACGGGGCACAGCACTCAGGGCCTCCTGGGCTTCTGCGGACCCGCCCCTCTCCTGCATTCTCCCTGCTCCCTGGAGAAGACGGATCGCGGATGAAAGGTCCCCAGGCCGACTGCTCAGAGGTGGTTCTTCGCCCCCGCCGCCTCCCGGGACCAGCCCCGACCTAGGCTCAGCCCTCTCCTCCCCTCATCGGGACTTCTGGTCCCCACTCCACCCCATAGCCGGCTTCTCGATGAGCCCACGCTGCTGCTCCCGGCGGCCGGGCTCCGATCGCCGTCCTCCCCGAGAGCAGCCGGGGCCGGCTCTCCCGCCTAGTATCACCGCAGCCTCCGCGACCCCGCGGGCCGGCGCACACACAGCCTCTCGCCTCCACGGACCCCAATGCGTGCCCACCCCACGCGCGCCTCCGCTATGCCGGCTGCAAACCCAGCTCCCTCCCCGCACGGCCCCAGAGCTCCGGGCTCACTTGGTCTTGAAGCGGCCCACTCCGGCCGCGGTCTCTGCCATGTTGCCGCCGCCGCCGCTCCAGCTGAAACCTGCTAGGGTCCCGGCAGCCACCGCCGCGTGAGGGAGGTTAGCACCGAACTCTTCACAGAACGCCACACTCCCGGCGCGCTGCGATGGCGTCACCGCGCGCGACCACTGTGACGTCCCCGCCGGCGCCGCGCACTTGGCGCCATCTTTGCTTCGGGCAGTGGCGGCTGCATCGGGAAGCGGAAGCGGGCGGAGACGTTTCCGGCCTGGAGGGAGGGCCGTGAGCTGTGAGGGTGCTTCGCGGGTCGGTGGGGGTAGACCGGCGGATGTGGCATCGCTGGTGGCCTGGCTCTTTGATACCAGTATAAAAAGGCATTTGTAGCCAGCGTTTACTCCTGCTTTTCGGCGTTCTGGGATGTGGGGGTACCAGCTGTCGGGTGCGGTCCGTGCGTAGAGCCGTCAACCTGACCCTGCCCCTGGGCTCGCAGTGTGGCTCTTGATAAATAACGTAGGTAAATGAATAAACCGGGTAATCTCAAAGGCATTCATGTATTGAGCACCTTCTGTGTGCAAAGCACTGTAATCGGCACTTGGCGGACACCAGAGAAGAAACAGAACGGGCGACGAGTGATAGTTGCTGAGCGCGATGGAAAAAGGAGGAGGGCCGGGCGCGTTGGCTCACGCCAGTAGTCCCAGCACTTTGGGAGGCCGAGGCGGGTGGATCACCTGAGGTCGGAAGTTCGAGACCAGCCTGACCAACGTGGAGAAACCCCGTCTCTACTAAAAACAGAAAAAAAAAATTAGCTGGGCGTGGTGGCACATGCCTGTAATCCCAGCTACTTGGGAGGCTGAGGCAGGAGAATCGCTTGAACCCCGGAGGCGGAGGCTGCAGTGAGCTGAGATTGCGCCACTGGACTCCAGCCTGGGTGACAGCGTGAGACTCCGTCTCAGAAAAAAAGAAAGAAAGAAAGAAAAAAAAACAGAAGGGAGGGAGCGGAAGGGAGGAAGGAGGAGGCTGTATTGAGAAGGTGACGCCTGAGCAGACACAAGTTCGCGAAGCAGGGAGCCCTGTGGAACGAATGGTGTTGAGAACAGCCAGGGCACAGGCCTAGGACTGGGGGTGCCAAGCATTGAGTAGCAACAAGCCGGGTGGCTGCAGGGAGTGGGTGCAGAGGGCAGAGGGCATGCAGTTGCCTGTGCGCCGTGGCGAGGAGTTAGCTTTTACTCTGAGTTCAAGGTTTTGAGCCATTTGTGCTACTGGCTCTGAAGCTGGTAGAAAGTAACAGCCAGGCCGGGCGCGATGGCTCACGCCTGTAATCCTAGCACTTTGGGTGGCCGAGGCCGGTGGATCACGAGGTCAGGAGTTCGAGACCAGCCTGGCCAGCATGGTGAAACCCAGTCTCTGCTAAAAATACAAAAATTAGCCTGGTGTGGTGGCGGGTGCCTGTAATCCCAGCTACTCGGGAGGCTGAGGTAGGAGAATCGCTTGAACCCGGAGGCGGAGGTTGCAGTGAGCCAAGATCGCAACGTCACTGCACTCCAGCCTGGGCGATAGAGCAAGACTGTCTCAGAGAAAAAAAAAAAAGTAACTGGGCCAGTCTGGGCATCATGGCGAGACCCTGTCTCCACATACACACACACACACACAGAAAATTTAGTAGGGGTGGTGGTGTGCCTGTAGTCCCAGCTACTCTGGAGGCTGAGGTGAGAGGGCTGCTTGAGCCTGGGAAGCTGAGTTTCTAGTGAGCTGTGATTGGGCCTCTGCACTCCAGCCTGGGCAACAGAGACCCTATCTCAAAAAATAGAAAAGAAAAAAATGAAAAAACGAAAGTAACTGAGAAGGAGAACTGAGAAGTATGATCAGGGAAAATCTCTGAGAGGAGAGATATTTGAGGGAAAGAAAGTAGGCCATCATGGTGGCTCACACCTGTGATCCCAACACTTTGGAGGCAGGAGGATCACTTGAGCCCAGAAGTTTGAGACCAGTCTGGATAACACAGTGAAACCCCATCTCTAAAATAAACACAAAAATTAGCCGGCAGTCGTGGTGCGTGCCTGTAGTCCCAGCTACTCAGGAGGCTGAGGTGGGAGGATTGCTTGAGCCCAGGGAGGTTGAGGCTGCAGTGAGCCGTAATCACGTGACTGCACTCCAGCCTGGGTGCCAGAGCAAGACCCAGTCTCAAAAAAGAAGAAAAAGGTATTCTGTCTATGGAGTAGCCATTCTTGTATTCCCCTTATTTATTTATTTTTATTTATTTATTTTTTGAGACAGTCTGGGTCTGTTGCCCAGGCTGGAATGCAGTGGCGTGATCTCGGCTCACTGCAAGCTCCGCCTCCCGGGTTCACACCATTCTCCTGCCTCAGCCTCCCGAGTAGCTGGGACTACAGGCGCCTGCCACCACGTCTGGCTAATTTTTTGTATTTTTTAGTAGAGACGGGGTTTCACTGTGTTATCCAGGATGGTCTCAATCTCCTGACCTCGTGATCGGCCCACCTCGGCCTCCCAAAGTGCTGGGATTACAGGCGTGAGCCCCCGCGCCCGGCCTCGTTTTTTGAGACGGAATCTTGCTCTGTCGCCCAGGCTGGAGTGCAGTGGCACGGTTTCCGCTCACTGGAAGCTCCGCCTCCCGGGTTCAGGCCATTCTCCTACCTCAGCCTCGCGAGTAGCTGGGGCTACAGGCGCCCGCCACCATGCCTGACTAATTTTTTGTATTTTTTAGTAAAGACGGGATTTCACTGTGTTAGCCAGGATGGTCTTGATCTCCTGACCTTGTGATCCGCCTGCCTCGGCCTCCCAAAGTGCTGGGATTATAGGCGTGAGCCACCGCGCCTGGCCTATTTATTGATTTATTTTTATGAGACGGAGTCTCACTCTTGTCGCCCAGGCTGGAGTGAAGTGGTGTGATCTTGGCTCACTGCAACCTCCACCTCCCGGGTTCACACCATTCTCCTGCCTCAGCCTCCCGAGTAGCTGGGACTACAGGCGCCTGCCACCACGCCCAGCTAATTTTTGTATTTTTAGTAGAGACGGGGTGTCGCCATGTTGGTCAGGTTGGTCTCGAACTCCTGACCTCAGGTGATCCACCCACCTCAGCCTCCCAAAGTGCTGGGATTACAGGCGTGAGCCACCCACGCCCGGCCTCCTTCCTTTGAAAAAGAAAAGATGAAAGAGAGCAGGCAAATGCCTGGAGAGGGCAGCAGGGATGCACCGGTGACAGTTGTGAGGGCCGCAGGCACAGAGGCAGGCAGGCCGGGGGTCTGCTTTTATTTACCTATTTACAAGGTATGTTGGCCCTGGGCTCCCCCACCACCTCAGCCCCAACGTTGCCTTCTGGGGCAGCCTCGGCCTCCTCCTGTGGGGCACCCTCCAGCAGAGCGGTGTCTTCCTCCAGGAAGTTGCTGAGCTCCGCCAGCTCTCTACGAACGACACTGGTGGCTTGGTCCAGCCAGCGCACACGCCGCAGGAGGGACAGCAGCAGGGGCCGACGGCGCTCCTGGCGCACGCTCCAGGCGTTGTGCAGCTCCCGGTAGCAGTTGTGGCGAGCACGCTCGGCCGGGTCCAGGGTGGCCCCGCAGCCCAGGGGGCAGCGCTGCTGGGACCCTTGCTGGCAATGCTGCCGGTGCTCTGCCAGGGTCCCACGCGGCACCTGCGAGGTGCAGCCCTCGTTGGGGCAGGCCGTTAGCTCAAAGGGGCATGAGTCCTGGTGCCCCTTGCGATGGGCCAGGGGGCATGTCACTATGCAGCCAGCGTCGGCGTTCTTGCACTGAGGGTGAAGGAGAACGTGTGAAGAAACCGGGCAGGACACCCACGGAATCCCCCACCCCTGGCTTTCCATTCGCCAGGAACCAGGGAACCGGGAGCCTCCCACGCTTTTCTGACTCTGGTGAGTTGGTGGAGAGAACACTGGGGCAAATGCCTAGACGTGGGAAGAAGCTAGAAGTTCCAGGGGAGAGGGTGAGGCCTGAGTCTTGGGGAACTGGAAGGTACACAGTTGGGTTGGTCTGGTGAGTGGTATGGATGCCAGGCTTTCCTTTTTAACCTCGGTTTACCCATCTGTAAAACTAGGGGACTAGAGAGTAGTGGCAGGCACACTGGGCACTTGATCCTCTAAAAATCCTCTGTAATCTCCATTTTAAAAGTCCTCTAAAATCTCCATTTTCTAACCCAGGGGCTTGGAAAAGTTAGGTGACTTGCCTAAAGTCACACAGCAACTAAGCAGTAGAGCCACGATCCAAACTCAGCTATGTCTGGTCGTCCCAAGGCTGCACTTGTTTCTCTCTGAAGATGGGATTCTCCTGCCTTCTCTCCTAGCCCTGCCCCACCCCTACAAGGGTGAGAAGGGTTGAGGGTCAGGGGAGTGGGTACTTTGAGCTACCTTGACTTCCAGGCGGCCAATGGTTTTCCGGAGTTTATTCATGTGGACAACCTTTTTCCTTTTCACCTCTTTCCTACAGCACGGACAGGTCTTTTGTCTGGAAGGAGGCATGAGTAGGGGTGAGTGTTGGGAGTGGGAAGGGAGCCCTGGTCAAGCCCTCACTCGGTGACCCAGGTGGTCCCTTCATTAGCTGGATGAGGCATTAGGGCATATTACAGGGCGCTCTCAGCTCTGAGGGTGGGGCCGGGGTCTGCAGACACTACTGAGTGAGGGTACACACATTTTAGTTTAGGGAGATTTGGTGGCTGAGTCTTTTGGCTGACTTTCCCCTCTGTTCTGGGCCACAGCAATGGCCCCCAGTCTCACTCCTGCCCTCCCAGCCCCTTGGGTACCCGCTGGCACCTGGCTAGCCACCGGAGGATGCACTTTTTGCAGAAGATGTGGCTGCATGGCAACCTTGCTGGCCTCTTGAGAACCCCATGGCAGACGGAGCACACGAAGTTGCTGTCAGGAGGGCTGGCGAAGAGGTTGAGATCATACCCGCCACCCTGCAAAGGCCAGGTGTCAGCACCTGGCTGGGACAGTGATCCAGTCCCTGGTCCACATACCGAGCAAGAGAGCCCAGCAAGCTTTTGGCAGGGAGGTGGGCCACAGAACTTCAAGTAAAGGGGTTGGCTCAGCGCCCACTTTGAGGGGGCAGCTGTGGGGGTTAGGGCCCCCCACCCCAGGACTACTAATCTCTGGCTGGAGACGGGGGCCTTAGCCTGGAATTAGACCTAGCCAGAGCCTTCCAGAAGGTTTCCTTGTACCATATGGGGGTCTGCAACCCATTGCCCACCCTTTCCGAGTGGAGTGGGGTCGATCCCTGGACAACTGGGCAGGTTTCTGGAGTTGGGCACACATCTCAGGGCTGGAAGCAAGAGGGCCCCAGGCTCACCATGATCTGCGTCTAGACAGCAGCTCCACAGGCCCCCAGAGCTCAGGAGCCTGCATTTCACAGTGGGTGTGGGCTGACATCACAATAGCATTGTCCAGCTCAAGCCAGTCACAACCCTGGTTCAGGACCCAGAGACCCCGTACAGCCCAGCCCTTGCCCCCTTCTCTGAAGGATCACAGGTAGCCAGGCGCGGTGGCTCACACCTGTAATCCCAGCAGTTTGGGAGGCCAAGGCAGGAGGATCACTTGAGCCCAGGAGACCAGCCTGGGCAACTCAGTGAGACCCCACCTCTTAAAAAAAAAAAAAGCCATACGGCTAGCTGCAGTGGCTCATGCCTGTAAGCCTAACACTTTGGGAGGCCGAGGCAGGCAGATCACTTAAGGTCAGGAGTTCGAACCAGCCTGGCCAACATGGTGAAACCCCATCGCTACTAAAAATACAAGAAAATTAGCCAAGTGTGGTGGCAGTTGCTTGTAGTCCCAGCTACTTGGGAGGCTGAGGCAGAATTGCTTGAACCCGGGAGGCGGAAGTTGTAGTAAGCTGAGATGGTGTCACTGCACTCCAGCCTGGGTGACAGCGAGACTCCGTCTCAAAAAAATAAATAAAATAAAATAAAAATAAAAGAGAGCAGCTCTTGACCTGAGATAGGTCTATGAAGCGCCTGGGGCTTGAGAGTGGCTGACAGCGTTTCCCCAGAAGCACTGGGTCAGAACCAAGCTTCATGGAGCTGTCTCCCCCAGGCCAGGGCTTCAGTGGGATCACAGGGATTGCCACCCTCTTCTCTCCAATACTGCGGCCCAGGTGGCTGGAGATCCTAAGGCTTAGGGGTTTTAGGCATTGACTCACTGGGGGTCTTCACTTAGGATCTGATACTCAGGTGCTAGCTCCACGGCAGTGACAACTAAACTCCCGGGTAACCTGCCGCCCCAGAGCAGGGGGCCCAGCCTCCCAAACCAGGTGTCTGATCCACTCCAGCCTAGCACCACGGGGGCGCTGAGTTCATCTAGGCCTAGTTGGTCAAATCCTTTAGAATCTCACCTGGTCTCACAAGGAAGCCACTGGAAGCCTCTGAGCTTCCCATCCTTGCTAGTGCTCTGCTGGCTCCACCTGGAGCCCTTTGGACCAAGGCATTTTACCTGCCAGTGTAGTTCACTTGAGATGCGCATGGCCACAAGACTGTTCGTAGTCTGGCTCCTCCACTTAAGAGGCGTCGGACCTTACACATCACCTGCCAACCTCCCATATCCTACCCTTGTGTCCAAAGCCAGGAAAGAAGAGGAGGCATCTCGCTAGGGTTCTCCCCGCCACAGCGTGAACATATGCACTTGCCGCCAGGCTGATAGGCGAGTCGGGGCCCCAAGAACACCCGCATGCAGTGAGTTAGACAAAACAGCTTTATTTGAAAGACGTGGGACAGCCAAGTTCCCCCAACCCCGCGGTCCTGGCGACGTCGGTGTCAGGCGTGGGAGGACCAGTGTCCTGCGGAGAAAGAACAAGGTTAGGGGTCTGCAGTCGGGGTCAGGAGTCAGGGGCCAGACCTCGCGAGCGACCGCACCCGGGGGGGAGGCGGCAGCGCCTGTCGGGGCCTGGGTTTCACCGCCGCACATGGGGCAGCGCGCGGTGAGCTGAGGCCCCCGGGGGCTCTGGGCGCCGAATCTCACCCGCGGCCACGGCCAAAGCCGGGGGCGATTTTCAACCAACGCCGGTCTCGAAGACCACCAGCGAGACGCCAGTGGTCAACGCGGCAGGACCTACCTAAGTGAAGAGGAGAGCGCAATGGAGGCGCGGACGTTTATAGCCACTCTTCGGGTGGATTCCCGAGCCGCGGCTGGGGACGGAGGCGCCGGCGTTTATAGTCGCTTTTCGGGTGACGTAGATTCCCGGGCCGCGGCTGGGGCCGGACGGGCAAGAGCACTCAGAGCCCGGTGAGGGCGGGGCACCGCGGAGCCAATCACAGGTTGTCTTATAGGAGCTCGGCCCGCTCCCGCTTGGGGCGGGGCTGCGGAGATCTCGCGGCGCTTGGCGTGCTATAAAAGCTGCTTCCCAGTAGGTCTCGTTCTTCTTTTCCGACAAAACACGTGAGTCCTGTTGGTCGCTGCAGCGGGCCTCTGCGTGGGCGGCGGGAATCCGCGGACATCGGGTCGGGTCTAGGCTCCCGAGTCCGCGCTCCTGGGCGGGAGCCCTTGTCTGGGTCTCGCGGGGGGCTGCCAGATGCGTAGGCCACACTGACTAGTTCCTTCTTGTCGCTTTTCCCAGCAAATGGCGGATGACGCCGGTGCAGCGGGGGGGCCCGGGGGCCCTGGTGGCCCTGGGATGGGGAACCGCGGTGGCTTCCGCGGAGGTTTCGGCAGTGGCATCCGGGGCCGGGGTCGCGGCCGTGGACGGGGCCGGGGCCGAGGCCGCGGAGCTCGCGGAGGCAAGGCCGAGGATAAGGAGGTAGGTATCAGCCACGCTCGGGGTCGGGCCCCTGGGCGGCGCCGGAGAGCGGTCCTGGTCACTGGCGCCTTTTCTCCCTTTAGTGGATGCCCGTCACCAAGTTGGGCCGCTTGGTCAAGGACATGAAGATCAAGTCCCTGGAGGAGATCTATCTCTTCTCCCTGCCTATTAAGGTACGCGTCGGTCGTTGGGGCGTTGAGCAAGTGCGACCCCGGAGTCATTTGGGCTGGGGTTGGAGGATTAGCATCTGCCATTGACTCGCATTAAAGGGCCCAGCGTCTCGCGTGAGAGGTTGAGGTTGTGTTGCGGGCTGGCTGAGGAGAGGATTCCACTTAGAGGTTGGATGGATACCTGAGCGAAGCCAGAGCCACAAAAGGCATTTCAGCGCATCTTCCCACATTCGCAGCGAATTCATTTCGAAAGAACTGAAAGAGAAGCAGCGCTTGGTTCATGCCATCCGAGAGGATGATGAAGTTCAGGTTGTGGGAGGACACTGTAAGGGTTAGCAAACTGTCATAGTCCGCGTGTACGGGACAGCTGTCATCTGCATCCAGCGGGTGCAGTGGGGAAAGGCTAATGGCATATTTGTCATGTGAGCGTTCGCCCTAGCAAGGTACGGTGGTCATGGCTAGGCCAAAGCTGGACAAAGCAAAAGGAAATCTGAGTGGAAAGCCACATCTCACCAAACAAGAGAAAAAGGGCAAATAGGAAGAAACGATTGAGATGCAGAAATAGGGTAACCTTACATACAAGCTTCCAAAAACGAAACGAAGGGGACAGATCGGGGGGAAGCCAGGTGAGGGGGTTCATGACTTCTTCGGTTTTTTTTGGGCGGGGTGGGCGGTTACACAGTTTCGCCCTATCGCCTAGGCTGGCGTGATCTCGGCTCACTGCAACCTCCACCTCCCAGGTTCAAGCGATTCTCCTGCCTCAGCCTCCTGAATAGCTGGGGTTACAGGCGCACTCCACCATGCCCGGCTAATTTTTTGTGTCTTTAATAGAGGTGGGGTTTCACCATGTGGCCAGGCTGGTATCGGACTCCTGACCTTGTGATCCGCCCACCTCAGTCTCCCAAAGTGCTGGGATTACAGGCTTGAGCCACCGCCCCCGGCCGTGACTTTGGTTCTTGAATATCATAATGGTATTAAGTTTTTTTTTAATGCTCTCCCTACAATTTTCTTGTTTGTTTCAGGAATCAGAGATCATTGATTTCTTCCTGGGGGCCTCTCTCAAGGATGAGGTTTTGAAGATTATGCCAGTGCAGAAGCAGACCCGTGCCGGCCAGCGCACCAGGTTCAAGGTACCCGGCTGTCCTGGAGGGGGCTGCGCTGGGCTTGCCGGGACTCTCTCGGCTCTGCATAGTTGCACTTGGCTTCACCCGTGTGACTTTCGTAACGGGGAGAGAGAGAAAAGATCTCCTCAGGACCTCGGATGGGCCTTACTGTGGCCTCTCTTTCCTTGAGGGGTGCAACAGGCCCTGGGCGGTGGGCAGTGATTGGGTGTAGGGCCACCAGCTGCCTCACACACATCTTTTCGCAGGCATTTGTTGCTATCGGGGACTACAATGGCCACGTCGGTCTGGGTGTTAAGTGCTCCAAGGAGGTGGCCACCGCCATCCGTGGGGCCATCATCCTGGCCAAGCTCTCCATCGTCCCCGTGCGCAGAGGCTACTGGGGGAACAAGATCGGCAAGCCCCACACTGTCCCTTGCAAGGTAGGCTGGTGGCAGGTGATGGGCCTGCCGTGGGGCAGGCTCCCTCGGGCCCCCGTCTCCTGACTCCTTCCCTCACCAGGTGACAGGCCGCTGCGGCTCTGTGCTGGTACGCCTCATCCCTGCACCCAGGGGCACTGGCATCGTCTCCGCACCTGTGCCTAAGAAGCTGCTCATGATGGCTGGTATCGATGACTGCTACACCTCAGCCCGGGGCTGCACTGCCACCCTGGGCAACTTCGGTAGGTGGTCCACACATGGGGCATAGCCATGGTCTCTCAGCTCCGCTTAACCACACGGGTCCAGTGTGTGCTTGGCGTGTTTTCAGGGAGGCAGAGAAAGGCTCTCCTAATGCACGACAGACCCGCCCAGAATGGCCTCTCTGTTCCTAGGAGTGCGACAATTTTTGGGTTGGGGGACTTGCCTCAAGCACACCACTGACCCTCCTGGGGTTCTTTTGTTTTGCAGCCAAGGCCACCTTTGATGCCATTTCTAAGACCTACAGCTACCTGACCCCCGACCTCTGGAAGGAGACTGTATTCACCAAGTCTCCCTATCAGGAGTTCACTGACCACCTCGTCAAGACCCACACCAGAGTCTCCGTGCAGCGGACTCAGGCTCCAGCTGTGGCTACAACATAGGGTTTTTATACAAGAAAAATAAAGTGAATTAAGCGTGTTACTGTTTTTTTCCCGTGTCCTGCATGGTTAGTGGTGGTTTGAATCTGGGGCGTGGGGCCAATAGATCACACCAGACACACAGGCAGGTTGCAGGGCTTTATATTTCAGCAACAGTCATACAGAGCCACACAGCAGGGGCACCCACAGCTGCCTCAGGAGGTGGCAGCGGCGGCCTCTTTTGCAGCTTTTCTCTCTTGCAGCATCCTCTGCCTCTGTTTGGCCAGGCACTTCCTGGCAGAACTGTAGGCCCCCAGGTCCTGATCTGGGGAAGCAATGGAAACAAGCTGGGAACCGAGGCCTCTGCTACATGCAAAGGGGGCAAAGTCAAGTGAGCACAAGGGAGGGGAGGGAAGATTTGCAATGGTTCTGGCCCCCAGGCCTCAGGAGGATGGTGGGGGGTTGGGGGTGGGTGGGGCACGCACAGCGGTCCTGGTAGGCCTTGGCCACCTGGGTGAACTGCTCCACTTCCTTGATACAGTTCTGCTGGTAGTTCTGTCCTTCCCTCTGCTGACAGGCTTTGAGCCGATCCTGCATAATGTTGATAATTTCTTGGTCGACTTTGCTGGTGGAGAAAAGGAGCAAGAGAGGCTAATCACAAGGAATCCTTTTCCTGTACCCTGTGAGAACAATTGAAAGCAAGAGCCCTGGGGTCTGGCTCCTCCCATGTCACCCCTAAAATCTGGGCATGCCACCCTGTGGCATCCCAGGGACTAGTGTCCCAGCAGCACACGGTGCAGATCTCCACACTCCCAGCATGGCTCACGTACTAGTCCCTCTTCCACTGCATTTCGGCTTCATACATGCACATGATGTCCTCCTCCTTGCACTCAGTGATGTCTGGCACGCGGCGGTACTGCCGGTGGTAGTAGTAATACCTGTTCTTTGCGTGCTGCCGCTCTATAAATTCTGCAAAGACAAAGCCACAGACTCAAATGCCTCATCGGTTTGGACAGGCTTTTAGCTTTCTTATTTCTCATAAGCCCTTTGGAGGGGAGAGAGGAGAACTTCCTGAGTGTTCCAGCGTTTAGAAAACAGCAATTCGTCTCTCTAAGGGATGTGGCCAGCCAGGCAGGCCTGTGAAGGCCTAGGCTACAGCTGATGGAGAGCTCCCGAGTACCAGGCATCATCCTCAGAGTTCCACATGCATTACCTTACTCTGTCCCCCACACAAGCCTACAGGCAGCTGCTTCTCACAGATGGCAAGGACTGGGACGCAGCTCTGCCAGTGCACCTCCCCCAGCTGCACAGGGACCCTGCTGGGTGCGCAAAGAGGCTCCAACAGGGAGCCTCCAGCAAGCAGAACTTACCACCTTACGGCCTCAGCTTCCTCACTGGGAAATGAACGAGCTAAAAGGAGAGCTCGAACATCCAGACACATAGGACAGACATGCTCTACAACTGCTACAAAAGAGAGGGAGCTGGGTCCGCTGTTGCACGGTTTCCAGATCTTTGGGGGTTTGATTTGGAGACTTCACCCTCTTACGGAAGAACCACCAGAGCATGCTATGCACCCCAAGTGTTCAAAAAGAACTGAACCAGGCTGGACACGGTGGCTCAGGCCTGTAATCCCAGCACCTGGGGGCCAAGGTGGGAGGATCACCTGAGGTCAGGAGTTCGAGACCAGCCTGGCCAACATGGTGAAACCCCGTGTCTACTAAAAATATAAAAATTAGCTGGGCGTGGTGGTGGTGCGCCTGTAATCCTAGTACTGGGGAGGCTGAGGCAGGAGAATCGCTTGAACCCGGGGTGGGGCAGAGGTTGCAGTGAGCCGAGATCGCGCCACTGCACTCCAGCCTGGGCAACAGAGTGAGACTGTCTCAGGAAAAAAAAAAACAACAAAAACTGAACTGGGCATTTTCCCGGTTCGTTCCAGAGATGCTGAATTTGGGCATCTCGGCCATCACCCCGACACTTGGTCATCCGGCAGAGAGACATTTGAGAGAGGCCTGAGGCCAGCGGTGCAGTGGAGGGGTGCCCGGGGCGGCGGGGGGCGGAGAGCAGTGCGGGGTCCTGGGGCAGTGGGCGCTGGGTGCGGCAGGGAGGGAAGAGTCCTGGGAAGAAGCGGGGCATCCCGGGGTGCAGGGGAGAGTAAGGGATCCTGGGAGGTGAGGTCCGGGGTGCAGTGGGAGGCCAAAGGAGGCGACGGAGCTCGGAGGTCTCCGGGGGTGGGGAGTTGTCCCCGGGGTGCAGCGGGGGGCGGTCTCAGGCAGACGGGACCCCGGAGGCATTGGAGGATCCAGGCAGGGTGTGGGATCCAGGGGTCCCCAGAGGCCGGCGAGGGAGCCCCGGGCTGGGGCTTCGTACCTCTCACGAGGGTCACGGGTCGGTCCACGATGAGGTCGAACGCTTTCATCATGTAGACGATGGGATTGGGCTGCACCGGCGTGCGGCGCGGGGGCTCAGGGTACACATCCTTGTCCCAGCTGTCCGGCATGGCGGCGGCGGGCGCGGACTCCGCTCCCGGACGCGCTGCCCTGGCCTCTACCTCCGTCCGGGTCCCGCGGCCTAGGTCGCCCGCTACAGAGGACGCCGAGGGCGGCTGCGTCTGCGCGCTGGCGCCGCGATGCACCATGGGACTTGTAGTTCCCCGGCTCCGCCGGGCGCGGCCGGGACCCGCCTCGCCGCAGGGCGCCCCCGCGTGGGGCCTCCGTTCTCGGTCTGTGCCGAGCGCCTACGCGGTGCTGGTCGCTGGTCTGGGCGCCTGGGAAGCAGCCGCGAACCGGACAGATTCCTGCTTACGATGAAAGAAACAGACAAAAGGCAACTGACATAAGGAATAGGAGGGGGTCAT
This sequence comes from Homo sapiens, assembly GCF_000001405.40. NCBI lineage: Eukaryota > Metazoa > Chordata > Mammalia > Primates > Hominidae > Homo > Homo sapiens. The sequence goes on along the minus strand of NW_025791799.1, from coordinate 25,415 downwards.
TCGGTTCCCACTGCGCGCCAGGCACTGTGCTGAGTGCAGCAGGGAATAAGATAAACTGTGATGGAGAACACAGGCCGTTAGAGCGCACACGACAAAGTGAACAAATAGCACGCGATTCCAAACACCCTACTCCTCCAGGAAGCTTTCCTGGATTGCCTAGTCCCTACAGACTTCTCTGGGCCCCGCTCTCTACAAGGGCCCCTCATGGACTGGCTGGTGCCAGTTAACTTGGGAGCCTGTCTGGGGGAGGGCAGGGAGCAGACCAGGAGGCAGGGCTTGCCCTTAGGCGGCTCATAGGGAGAAGGCACCTACCCTGGGCACAGGGCCCTCTGGCCGGCTTTGATGGTTCCATCCTGGCCCTGGGGCACTCTGGTGCTTCTAGGCAGCTCCACTGAGCAGGGTCCTGCTGGCCACATCTTCAGTCTCCACACCTGGCACGGCCCCTGGCTGCTATCCAGGGGGGACACTGGTCATGTCCTGTCCTGAGGTTGAGGCCAGCGACACAGAACCATCAACCCTACAGACAAACAGTGAGAGGTGACAGCGTGCTGGCAGTCCTCAGAGCCCTCGCTCGCTCTCGGCGCCTCCTCTGCCTGGGCTCCCACTTTGGCGGCACTTGAGGAGCCCCTTTCTGGGCTGGCCAAGGCCAGAGCGGGCTCCCTCAGCTTGCGGGGAGGTGTGGAGGGAGAGGCGCAGGCGGGAACCGGGGCTGCGCGCGGTGCTTTGCGGGCCAGCGCGAATTCCAGGTGGGTGTGGGCTCGGCGGGCCCCGCACTCGGAGAGCCTGGCCGGCCCTGCCGGCCCTGGGCAATGAGGGGCTTAGCACCCGGGCCAGCGGCTGCGGAGGGTGTGCTGGGTCCCCCAGCAGGCCGGCCCACCGGCGCTGCGCTCGATTTCTCTCGCCAGGCCTTAGCTGCCTCCCCGCGGGGCAGGGCTCGGGACCTACAGCCCGCCATGCCTGAGCCTCCCCCACTCCGTGGGCTCCTGTGCGGCCCGAACCTCCCCGACGAGCGCCGCCCCCTGCTCCAGGGCGCCCAATCCCATCAACCACCCAAGGGCTGAGGAGTGCGGGCGTACGGCGCGGGACTGGCAGGCAGCTCCACCTGCAGCCCCCGTGCGGGATCCACCGGGTGAAGCCAGCTGGGCTCCTGAGTCTGGTGGAGACGTGGAGAACCTTTATGTCTAGCTCAGGGATTGTAAATACACCAATCGGCACTCTGTATCTAGCACAAGGTTTGTAAACACACCAATCAGCACTCTGTGTCTAGCTCAGGGTTTGTGAATGCACCAATCGACACTTTGTATCTAGCTACTCTGGTGGGGACTTGGAGAACCTTTGTGTGGACACTCTGTATCTAGCTAATCTGGTGAGGATGTGGAGAAGCTTTGTGTCTAGCTCAGGGATTGTAAACGCACCAATCAGCGCCCTGTCAAAACAGACCACTGGACTCTACCAATCAGCAGGATGTGGGTGGGGCCAGATAAGAGAATAAAAGCAGGCTGCGGGAGCCAGCAGTGGTAACTCACTCAGGTCCCCTTCCACAGTGTGGAAGCTTTGTTCTTTCTCTCTTTCCAGTAAGTCTTGCTGCTGCTCACTCTTTGGGGTCACAGTGCCTTTATGAGCTGTAACACTCAACCGCGAAGATTTGCAGCTTCACTCCTGAAGCCAGTGAGATTACGAGCCCACTGGCAGGATGAACAACTCCAGACGCGCGGCGCCTTAAGAGCTGTAACACCGCGAAGGTCTGTAGCTTCATTCCTGAGCTAGCGAGAGCGCGAACCTACCAGAAGGAAGAAACTCCGAACACATCGGAACATCAGAACGAGCAAACTCCGGACACCCCGCCTTTAGGAACTGCAACACTCACCGCGAGGGTCCGTGGCTTCATTCTTGAAGTCAGTGAGACCAAGAACTCACCAATTCCGGACACAACAGGATCTACGGTCACAGAAACGTTCGGTCTTCACATTATGAACTTTTTTTTCTTTTTTTGTTTTTGTTTTTGTTTTTTTTTTTTTGAGACAGTTCTCTCGCTCTGTTGCCCAGGCTGGAGTGCAGCGCGTAATCTCGGCTCACTGCAACCTCCTCCTCCTCCCAGTTTCAAGTGATTCTCCTGTCTCAGCCTCCTGAGTAGCTGAGACTACAGGTGTCTGCCACTACGCCCGGCTAATTTTTTGTATTTTTAGTAGAGACAGGGTTTCACCATGTTTCTGGTCTCAAACTCCTGACCTTACGTGATCTGCCCACCTCGGCCTCCCAAAGTTCTGAGATTACAGACATGAGCCACTGTGCCTGGCCAAAGTCTTGGAAAGAAATATGAACCATGAGACCCAAACAATCTTGACATTTTAGTAGCCTAGAATCTTAGTATCTATTGATGTAAGAACCACGTATCTTAGAGATGTCATAGGCCTGAAAAACTCTAGAATTCCACTGCTATAGAACTTTACAACTGGCTGGGCGGGGTGGCTCACACCTGTAATCCCAGCACTTTGGGAGGCCGAGGCGGGTGGATCACCTGAGGTCAGGAGTTTAAGACCAGCCTGGCCAACATGGCAAAACCCCATCTCTACTAAAAATACAAAAATCAGCTGGGCATGGTGGCACACACCTGTAATCCCAGTTACTAGTGGGGCTGAGGCAGGAGGATAGCTTGAACCCAGGAAGCAGAGGTTACAGTGAGCCGAGATTGTGCCACTGAACTCCAGCCTGGGCAACAGAATGAGACTCCATCTCAAAACAAAAACAAAAAAAACAAAACTTTACAACCATAGAATCTTTGAATTGAAAAAGATTTTGAGGGGCGCAGTGGCTCACATCTGTAATCCTAGCACTCTAGGAGGCCAAGGCAGGCAGATTGCTTGAGCTCAGGAGTTCGAGACCAGCCTGGGCAACATAATGAGATCCCCATCTCTATAAACAATACAAAAATTAGTGAGGCATGGTGGTAAGTGCCTGTGGTCTCAGCTACTCAGGGGGATGAAGGCAGGAGGATTGCTTGAACCCAGGAGACTGAGGCTGCAGTGAGCTATTACTGTGCCACTACATTTTAGCCTGGGCACCAGAGAGAAACCCTGTCTCAAAAAAAAAAAAAAAAAAAGAAAAAAAAATAAGATTTCAACCCCCTCTTCATTCAAAACTTAAATTCAAAATTTAAATTTGGCCAGGTGCTGTGGCTTATACCTGTAATCTCAGCACTTTGAGAGGCTGAGGCAGGAGAATCACTTGAGGCCAGGAGTTTCAGACCAGCCTAGGCAACATGGTGAGACGCCCGCCTCTACAACAAGACACATTTAAAAATTAGGTCCTGCTGAGGCAGAAGGACCACTTAAGCCCAAAAGGTTGAGGCTGCAAGTGAGGTATGATCACACCGCTGCATTCCAGCCTGAGCCATGGAATGAGACATTGTCTCTTTAAATAAGGCCAGGCGCGGTGGCTCATGCCTGTAATCCCAGCACTTTGGGAGGCTGAGGTAGGCAGATCACAAGGTCAGGAGATCGAGAACATCCTGGCTAACACAGTGAAACCTCGTCTCTACCAAAAATACAAAAAGGTAGCCGGGTGTGGTGGCAGGCGCCTGTAGTCCCAGCTACTTGGGAGGCTGAGGCAGGAGAATGGTGTGAACCCGGGAGGGGGAGCTTGCAGTGAGCCGAGATCACGCCTCTGCACTCCAGCCTGGGCAACAGAGCGACTCCATCTCAAAAAAATAAAAAAGATAAATTCATAAAAGTATTTCAATGATTGTGAATGACAGGAGTCAGATCTTGATTTTTTTTTTTTTTTTGAGACGGAGTCTTACCCTATTGCCCAGGCTGGAGTGCAGCGGCGCGATCTCGCCTCACTGCAACCTGCAACCTCTGCCTCCCAGGTTCAAGTGATTCTCCTGCCTCAGCCTCCCAAGTAGCTGGAATTAACAGGCCCACACCACCACGCCCGGCTAATTTTTATATTTTTAGTAGAGATGGGGTTTCACCATGTTGGCCAGGCTGGCTTTTTTTTTGTTTTTAAGACAGTGTCTCGCTCAGTCACGCAGGCTGGAGTGCAGTCAAGGTTCACTGCGGCCTGACATCCTGGGCTCAAGTGATCCTCCTGCCTCAGCCTCCCAAAGTGCTGGGATTACAGGCATGAGCCACTGCACTCAGCCAGGGATCTCAATCTGGAAGCACAGCTCTGGTGATCCTCAAGGTGCAGTCAGCCCTCCCCCTCGTCTGCCCTGTCCCCAGCCCTGCTCCCCGCTGTTTATCCAGCTGTCTCCCAGCCCTCAGGACAGGAACCCCCTCTGCCTCCAAGTCGGCAAACTGCTCCAGACCCCTCCTCTTGGCCGCTGCCTGGGAGAAGGCCCCCACCGGCTACCTTGGCCCCCACCTTGCCTGGCCAGTCCTGTCCTGGGAGGGTCATGACCCAGCCCCAGGGCCATCGAGGAAAGGAGTGCCAGCCCTGGCTCCGGGTGCCCCACTCAGGCTGTCTATCTGATGCCCCCAACACTGCCCCGCCCCTGCCTGCTCCTGGCACCGGAGACCCTGCTGACTGTGCCAGGGGCTAATCTGGGAACTGGCAGCTGTGAGTCCTGGCCCTGCCACTCGACCTCTGGCGGCTAGCGGCGAGGCCCCTTCCTGACCTTCAGGGATCGGCCACCATGGTTGGTGGGACCAGGGTGAGGGTGGGCTGGGGTTGGAGCTGGAACTCTGGGGGGGTGGGACAGCTGGGCTTCTGGATGCTCCCTCAGAGGGACAGTCTCCCAGCCTGTGAGGGGATGGGAGGCTGGAGGGGGAAACAAGGGGACGAGGGCTGGGCTCCTGGGCCTGGGAGGGCCCTGGAGATGAACAGATGGCAGCGGCCACCTGCCCCAGGAGCCCTTGGCTGCAGTATGGGTGCGACCCTCCTGGGCCCCAGGCTGAGCCCACAGAGGCAGGAAGCCTGTGGCTATGGAGACCCCATCCCAAAGACGCTGCCCCTTGGTGAACCTTCCTCTCCCCTCCTGTAGGCAGACAGGGGAGGTGCTGAGCACAGGCCTCAGTCTGAAGCCTGTAGTCCATTTCTCCAGGTATGGGTTCTGGGACCATCCAGCTCTACCACCAGGGACACCCCAGGTCTGACCTCCTTCCTTCCTGCCCCCCAGTCCCACCGGAAGTTTTCCGCCCCTCGGCACGGACACCTGGGCTTCCTGCCCCATAAGAGGAGCCACCGGCACCGGGGCAAGGTGAAGACGTGGCCGCGGGATGACCCCAGCCAGCCCGTGCACCTCACGGCCTTCCTGGGCTACAAGGCGGGCATGACCCACACCCTGCGGGAGGTGCACCGGCCGGGGCTCAGTGAGTCACAGTTGGGACCCTTGGGGGAGGGGGAGGGCTGAACCTTCCAGATGCTCGGAGCCAGAACTCACGCTTTTGGTCCAGACAGGGCCACAGTCCCAGGGAGCACCAGGCCTCGCCCCCGGGAATTGGGGTGGACGCTGAGCACAGGCAGGGCTTCCGGGCGGGTTCTGTCATGGCCCCAGCTCGCAGATGAGGACATTGAGGCACAAAGCAGTGAGGAACCTGGTCCAGTCACCGGGGCGGTAAGCGCAGGAGCTAGGATTCAAAGGCCAGCGCCCCAAGCCCTCGGTTCAAACCACCTGCCAGGACATCTGCACTTTTTGGCCATTTCGGGTCTATTTCATGTACCATTATTTCATATGTACGCCTATGTATATAGTTAGTTTTTGTTGTTTTAATCGTAGATTCACAAGTAGTTGTAAGAAATAATGCAGGCCGGGCATGGTGGCTCACGCCTGTAATCCCAGCACTTTGGGAGGCCGAGGCAGGAGGATCATTTGAGGCCAGGAGTTGCAGACCAACCTGGACGGCATCGTGAAACCCTATCTCTACAAAAAATACAAAAATTAGCTGGGCGTTGTGGCGAGTGCCTGTAGTCGCAGCTACTTGGGAGGCTGAGGTGGGAGGATCACTTGAGCTTGGGAAGTCAAGGCTGCAGTGAGCTATGATTGCACCACTGCATTGCAGCCTGGGTGACAGAGTGAGACCCTGTCTCAAAAACAGAAAAAGAAATCCATTGTAATCATTAGAATAACAAATGCTCATTTGGGCTCAGCCCCACCCTCTGGGGAATGCTGTCCTGGCTGGCCCCACACTCTCCTGTCCTGCCCCTATGTGGGCGGCTCTCCACTCCCTCCCCCACAGGCCTCAGGAGGTCCCCCTTCATGCCCCATCCCTGTGTCTCATCCAGAAATTTCCAAACGGGAGGAGGTGGAGGCGGTGACAATTGTAGAAACGCCGCCCCTAGTGGTGGTGGGCGTGGTGGGCTACGTGGCCACCCCTCGAGGTCTCCGGAGCTTCAAGACCATCTTTGCAGAACACCTCAGTGATGAGTGCCGGCGCCGATTCTACAAGGACTGGTGAGCACCGCCCTTGGCTGGGCCGTCCAAGGGCTGCTGGGACCACAGAAGTTGGGTGCCTGAGGCTCTAGCTCTTGCTGAAATGATAGGTGTGGGTGAGTAGGAAGCGAAGTCTCAACCGTCTGTGGGAGGTAGGAGTGTCTGTGTGTGTGTGTGTGTGTGTTGTGTGGTTGCCTTCATTTCAATAAAAGATGAGTAGGCTGGGCGTGCTGGCTCACGCCTGTAATCCCAGCACTTTGGGAGGCCGAGGCGGGTGGATCACTTGAGGTCAGGAGTTTGAGACCAGCTTGGCCAACATGGTGAAACCCCATCTCTACCAAAAAATACAAAAATTAGCTGGCTGGGGTGGTGCGCACCTGTAGTCCAGCTACTCAGGAGGCTGAGGTGGGAGAATCACTTGAACTGGGAGGTGAAGGTTGCAGTGAGCTGAGATCGTGCCACTGCACTGCAGCCTGGGTGGCAGAGTGAAACCCTGTCTCAATCTCAAGAAAAACACAAAAAACAAAAAACATGAGTACTAGAAGGCTGGAGATGAAATCAGGATGGAGGAAAAAGAGGAAACAAATATTCTAATCCTCAGGGTTAATTAAAAGGCTAATTTGGGCGGCTTGTGGTGGCTCACGACTGTAGTAGTCCCAGCACTTTGGGAGGCCAAGGCGGGTGGCTCATTTGAGGTCAGGAGTTCGAGACCAGCCTGGCCAACATGGTGAAAACCCGTCTCTACTAAAAATACAAAAAAAAAAATAAAAATAAAAAAATAAGCTGGGCGTGGTGGCAGACACCTGTAATCCCAGCTACTTGGGAGGCTGAGGCAGGAGAATCGCTTGAGCCTGGGAGGTGGAGATTGTAGTGAGCTGAGATTGTGCCGCTGCACTCCAGTGTGAGCGACAGAGTGAGACCCTGTCAAAAAACAAACAAACAAAAAACCAAAAGGCTAATTTGATGGAATGTTAGCATTGGCTCTGAGTTTCCTAGCAGCCATTGTGAAAAGTGAAATAGCCAGCTGAGAAGCTCTTACACATAGAAAGGTATTCTCGGGCCTCAAATCTTCCCTGGCAGTAAGTCCTGAAAGAAACCTTGGTTTCTTCACCTATAGAATGGGAATAATAATAATAATAATAATAATAATAATAATAATAATAATAATGTCCACCTCCCAGAACTCTGCTGAGGGTTAGAAACTATGGCTTCTGGCTGGGCACAATGGTTCATTCCTATAATTCCAGCACTTTGGGAGGCTAAGGCAGGCAGACCGTTTGAGCTCAGGGCTTCGAGACCAGCCTGGGCAACATGACGAAACCCGTCTCTACAAAAAAATACAAAAAATTAGCCGGGCACGGTGGCGCATGCCTGTGGTCTCAGCTACATGGGGGGTGAGGTGGGAGGATTGCTTGAGTCTGGGAGCTCCAGGCTGCAGTGAGCTGTGTTTGTGCCACTGCACTCCAGCCTGGGAGAGAAAGTGAGACCCTATCTCCAAAAACAAAAAAGAAAGGATGGCTCCCAAGCCCGAGGTGCCTGGCCATGGCACCCACTGCACCCTTGAGAAGTGGGACCAGCAGTCTGAGCCATGTGGCAGGTGGGGTGGTCTCTAGGTGCCTGGACTGCAGGGCTGGCCAGCCGCCTTCTCTGAGCTTCTGCACCTCTGCCACTCACTCTCAGGCCCCGGGAAACAGGGAGGGTACCTACTTTACAGAGGAGGAAACCGGGGCCTAGAGGGGGAGAGACAGTCTATGTTCAAAGATGGTGGCTGGAACCAGCTCAGAGGCCTCCGGGTGGGGGGCGGTCCCAGAGGTAGGACCCCTGCTTGGTGGGCTGGGGGTGAGGTGGGGGCAGGATAGGCCTGGGGAGCTGCCCCGGTTGGGGGCTTCTGAGCACCCTCCTGTGCATGGCTCAGGCACAAGAGCAAGAAGAAAGCCTTCACCAAGGCCTGCAAGAGGTGGCGGGACACAGACGGGAAAAAGCAGCTACAGAAGGACTTCGCCGCCATGAAGAAGTACTGCAAGGTCATTCGGGTCATTGTCCACACTCAGGTCAGCCCCCGGCCCTCCGCTGTCGGTCAGTCCCTAGGACCACGCTCCCTCACCCCAGCTTCCAGGAGCTGTGGCAAATGTCAGCCTAAAAATACCCGAGCCTCGGCACAGACCCAGAGGAGCGGCTGACCAGCCTCGCTGGCCACGTGCAGCCCCAGGCATGGCTGCTGAAAGGCATCGGTGCCTTCTGGGGTGCCAGGGGCATCAGCCACGCCGGCTAGTCAACTAAGACCCTGGCACGCCCTGAAGAGCCGGGTCCCCAGCCAAGTGTGCTGTGTGGAGGGCTGGTCACCTCTCTTCGGTTTCCAGCGTAAGTGTGCACAGGAATCCGTGTTTGTACATGGGTCTGGCTTGCTGTAGGCTGACAGGCAGGCGGCACCCTCCAGCTTATTCTGGAACACTCTTTGGCATCTTTGTCCTCAGGGAAGGCTTCCCGAGGCCCTAGAGCAGTGCCCCCGACCCTGAGCTTCCCACAGCCCCCACACTGCCCCCAGCTGCTCGCACACTTGTACACCATGCCTGGGCCAGTCACTGGTGTGTGTTCATCTCCCTGGACAGACTCCAGGCAGGCAGAGGCCCTGGGCGGGGCCACAGCTGCCACCAAGAGCCTGGTATGCAGGAGGTGCTCTGTAAATACCTGCCCCATACATACCCGCCCCATACATACCCACCCCATACATACCCACCCCATACATACCTGCCCTGTCCATACCTGCCCCCTACATACCTGCCCCGTCCATACCTGCCCCCTACATACCTGCCCCGTCCATACCTGCCCCCTACATACCTGCTCTGTCTATACCTGCCCCGTCCATACCTGCTCCCTACATACCTGCCCCCTACATACCTGCCCTGTCCATACCTGCCCCGTCCATACCTGCCCCTTACATACCTGCCCCTTACATACCTGCCCCTTACATACCTGCCCCCTACATACCTGCCCCCTACATACCTGCCCCCTACATACCTGCCCCCTACATACCTACCCCGTCCATACCTACCCCGTCCATACCTGCCCCGTCCATACCTGCCCCGTCCATACCTGCCCCGTCCATACCTGCCCCCTACATACCTGCCCCCTACATACCTGCCCCGTACATACCTGCCCCGTACATACTGCCCCGTCCATACCTGCCCCGTACATACCTGCCTCATACATACCTGCCCCATACATACCTATGGGTCACTATGTGTTCCCCGCTGGCCTCTCTGTCTCCACCTCTACATTGCACAGCCTGTGCTTCACACAGCACCAGCCAGAGACCTTACCAAAAAAAAAAAAAAAAAATCAAGCCAGACATGGTGGATCACGCCTGTAACCCCAGCACTTTGGGAGGCCAAGGCAGGCGGATCACCTGAGGTCAGGAGTTCGAGACCAGCCTGGCCAACATGGCAAAACCCCATCTCTAGTAAAAATACAAACAAATTAGCTGGGCATGGTGGGCGCCTGCAATCCCAGCTACTTGGGAGACTGAGGCAGGAGAATCACTTGAAACTGGGAGGTGGAGGTTGCAGTGAGCCAAGATCGCACCATGGCACTCCAGCCCGGGCGATAGAGTCTCAAAAAAAAAAAAAAAAAAAAAAGAAAAAAAAAAAAAACAAAAATCAGGCCCAGTGGCTTACACCAGTGATCCTAGCACTGTGGGAGGACAAGGTGGCAGCCCGGGCAACTTAACGAGACCTCATCTCTACAAAAAAATTAAAAATTGGCTGGGCATGGTGGTGCATGCCTGTAGTTCCAGCTACTTGGAGAGGGGTGCTGAGGCAGGAGGACTTCGAGACCAGTCTTGGCAACATAGGGAGATCCCCATCTCTACAAAAAAAAAAAAAAAAAGCCAGGCGCGGTGGCTCACGTCTGTAATTCCAGCACTTTGGGAGGCCGAGGCAGGCAGATCAGGTCAGGAGATTGAGACCATCCTAGCTAACGCGGTGAAACCCCGTCTCTACTAAAAATACAAAAAATTAGCCAGGCGTAGTGGCACAACCTGTAGTCCCAGCTACTCGGGAGGCTGAGGTAGGAGAATGGCGTGAACCCAGGAGGCAGAGCTTGCAGTGAGCCGAGATTGCGCCACTGCACTCCAGCCTGGGCGACAGAGCAAAACTCCGTCTCAAAAAACAAACAAACAAACAAACAAAAAAAAAACAACTGGGCATGGTGGTGAGTGCCTGTCATCCCAGCTACTCAGGAGGCTAAGGTGGGAGGATTGCTTCGGCCCGGGAGGCTGAGGCTGCAGTGAGCCTTGATCATGCCACTGCACTCCAGCCTGGGTGACAGAGCGAGACCCTGTCTCAAAATAAAAATATAAAAAAATAAAAATCAGGCCAGGTGCAGTGGCTCATGCCTGAACCCTAGCACTTTGGGAGGTCAAGGTGGGTGGATCGCTTGAAGTCAGGAGTTTGAAACCAGCCTGGCCAACATGGGAAACCCCAACTGTACTAAAAATACAAAAAAATTAGCCGGGCATGGTGGCACACACCTGTAATCCCAGTTACTCAAGAAGCTGAGGCAGGAGAATCACTTGATTCAGGGAGGCAGAGGTTGCAGTGAGCCGAGATCGCCCCACTGTACTCCAGTCTGGGCAACAGAGCGAGACTCCATTAAAAAAAGGCCGGGCGTGGTGGCTCACGCCTGTAATCCCAGCACTTTGGGAGGCTGAGGCGGGCGGATCATGAGGTCAGGAGATGCAGACCATCCGGGCCAACACAGTGAAACCCTGTCTCAACTAAAAATACAAAAAATTAGCTGGTCGAGGTGGCGGGCACCTGTAGTCCCAGCTACTCAGGAGGCTGAGGCAGGGGAATGGCGTGAACCCGGGAGGCAGAGCTTGCAGTGAGCCGAGATCATGCCATTGCACTCCAGCCTGGGCGATAGAGCGAGACTCAAAAAAAAAAAAAAAAAAAAAAATCCAATCAGATCACATCGCAGCCTGCACTTGGAAGAAAGTCCGAGCTCCCCACTCCCAGGTGCTGGCCCACGCCCCTTGCTCCCCACCGTCTGCCCACACTGGTCTCCTCTCTGTCCCACCAACTTTCCAAGGCCTCCTCTGCCACCAGGCCTGTGCAAATGCGGGGTCCTGCTGCCCAGAGCCTCTCCAATGTTTGCCTCGTGGCTCCTACTTGTTAGCAGCGGCACCTTCTCAGAGAAGCCCTCTCTGCCCTGACCACTGTATCTGAAACACCAGCCCCCATAGCCCATCAGAGCACTCTGTCCTCTCCAAGAGTTACTTGGTTTCCTTCTGTCCCCCAGTGAGATGGTGGCTCCCGAGGTGTGGGACTCTGTCTGCCTCATTCTGCACCGGATCCGCAGTGCCTAGCACAACACATGGGTTGCAACCTGATCCTGGGAACACCTGTGAATGAATGCATGCGTGGAAGGCGGCAGGGGTCACTGCTGGCCATGCCATGTTTCAGGTGGGGGTGTGATCCCGTGGGCCGTGGCGTGACCTCCGGCCATGTCCTGCAGATGAAACTGCTGCCCTTCCGGCAGAAGAAGGCCCACATCATGGAGATCCAGCTGAACGGTGGCACGGTGGCCGAGAAGGTGGCCTGGGCCCAGGCCCGGCTGGAGAAGCAGGTGCCCGTGCACAGCGTGTTCAGCCAGAGTGAGGTCATTGATGTCATTGCTGTCACCAAGGGTCGAGGCGTCAAAGGTAGGGCTCAGTGAGGATGGCAGCTCCAGGGCAGGCTGCCTGGAGGCAGTGGGGACCAGCCTGGCCTCTCAGCCACCAGCCCCTCTCACTCACAGGGGTCACAAGCCGCTGGCATACCAAGAAGCTGCCGCGGAAGACCCATAAGGGCCTGCGCAAGGTGGCCTGCATTGGCGCCTGGCACCCCGCCCGCGTGGGCTGCTCCATTGCTCGGGCCGGGCAGAAGGGCTATCACCACCGCACGGAGCTCAACAAGAAGGTGCGTCCTCAGCCGGGGTACGGGGACACTGTGTGGTCGGACCCCAGCCCTCAGTACTGGCCTCAGTGGGTGGGGTGCATGACCCAGACACTGCCGGGGACACAAGATGCCCCCACCAGCACTGAGTCTGAGCATGTGGGCGGATGGGCCTGGATGGGCTGCTGGCCTCAGAGGCCACTTCCTGCCCCTGGCATGTGCCCCCTTCTGGCAGATCTTCCGCATCGGCAGGGGCCCGCACATGGAGGACGGGAAGCTGGTGAAGAACAATGCATCCACCAGCTACGACGTGACTGCCAAGTCCATCACACCGCTGGTGAGGCTGGGAGGGGGCGACTGCCAGGCCCATCACACCGCTGATGATGGCTGGAGTGGGGTCAGGCTGGCCGGGGGGCCTGGTATACATGTAGGGGGCATGCCCCAGCCTCAGCTGGACGCTCCCTGCCCCAAGGGCTCAAGATTTTTGCCCCACAGCTGGACGCTGCCCCGCCAGGCACACTGGACAGAAGACCTTGACAGCTGGGCAGTGATGTGGGACCCTTGCCTTGGCTGTCCAAAACATTTGGATATAGTCACAAGCAAGAAATCTCTGCTGCGTCCCACATCCTCCGAGCCTCCTCTGGAGGCAGCTTCCACTCCAGCTGCTGTCATGTGGGTGTGGAGTGCGGCAGCTCCTACTGTGGCCTGGGAGTCAGGCCACCTGGGCTCAAACCGCATCTCCAGGACTTAGCAGCTGTAGAGGCTGGAGCAAGTGACTCCACTCCTCTGATCCTCAGTCTCCCCCAACAAAAATGCAGACTGTCAAGTGAGATAATGCATGAAAAGGACTTAGCTTGTGACTCAGATGCTGCCCTCAGTAGGGGCGGCGTGATAGTCACCCCTACATCTGGGGGCTGGGCACGGGGCTCCTGCCTATCACTGCCCCCTCTGGGGGTTCTGCTAGGGCCCCCAGCCACCCACTAACTCAGAAGCCCTTTCCGGGCCTGGCCTCTGACCTGTGTCCTCTGCAGGGTGGCTTCCCCCACTACGGGGAAGTGAACAACGACTTCGTCATGCTGAAGGGTTGTATTGCTGGTACCAAGAAGCGGGTCATTACGCTGAGAAAGGTTGGCAGTGCTGGGTGGGCTGGGGAGTGGGTGCCCGAGGGCTGCCAGCCTGTCCTGCCCTGCGGCCTGCTACGAGCGGGATGGAGTGGTGGGAGCAGAAGGGGAGGGCTCTGGTAGGAACTAGGTGAGCAAGACCTTCCTGGTGGGGCTTGGAGGTTCACAGCAGGGTGTGGGGGATCCCCACACTTGATGTTTACTTTACCATGGATTCCCCAGTCCCTCCTGGTGCATCACAGTCGCCAAGCCGTGGAGAATATTGAGCTCAAGTTCATTGACACCACCTCCAAGTTCGGCCATGGCCGCTTCCAGACAGCCCAAGAGAAGAGGGCCTTCATGGTGAGCTCACCGCCCCCATCCTTGTTCTTCTCTGGGGCTCCAGCTCCACATCCAGCCTGCCCGAGTAGGGAGCTGGAGCTGGCAGGGACTCCCCTGAGCTCAACTGCAGGAGAGACTCTTTTTTTTTTATTTATTTTATTTTTTGAGATGGAGTCTCGCTCTGTCACCCAGGCTGGAGTGCTGTGCCGTGATCTTGGCTCACTGCCACCTCCACCTCCTGGGTTCAAGCAATTCTCCAGATTCAGCCTACCCAGTCGTTGGTACTACAGGCACGTGCCACCACGCCAGGCTAATTTTCTGTATTTTTAGTAGGGATGGGGTTTCATCGTATTAGCCAGGATGGTCTCTATCTCCTGACCTCATGATCCGACCGCCTCGGCCTCCCAAAGTGCTGGGATTACAGACATGAGCCACCGTGCCCGGCCTGCAGGAGAGACTCTTAAGGGTCTATCCCTGGGCACTGATTCTTTAGAAGAGAAGGTGGGGGAGGAAGCAGCCTTAGGGGGGCAGTAGGGCCGGCCCTGAGTGATCTAGAGCCTGGCTGGGGGAGGGCGTGTTTCTGGCCAGAGTGACTAAGGCTCCTCCTGCACCACCCTCTCAACCAGGGCCCCCAAAAGAAGCATCTGGAGAAGGAAACGCCGGAGACCTCGGGAGACTTGTAGGCTGTGTGGGGTGGATGAACCCTGAAGCGCACCGCACTGTCTGCCCCAATGTCTAACAAAGGCCGGAGGCGACTCTTCCTGCGAGGTCTCAGAGCGCTGTGTAACCGCCCAAGGGGTTCACCTTGCCTGCTGCCTAGACAAAGCCGATTCATTAAGACAGGGGAATTGCAATAGAGAAAGAGTAATTCACACAGAGCTGGCTGTGCGGGAGACCGGAGTTTTATGTTTTATTATTACTCAAATCGATCTCTTTGAGCATTTGCGGAGCAGAGGTTTTTTTTTTTTTTTTTTTTGAGAGAGTCTTGATCTTGTCGCCCAGGCTGCTGGAGTGCCGGGGAGCAGAGTTTTTAAGGATAACTTGGCGGGTGGGGAGAGCCAGTGAGCCAGGAGAGCCGATTGGTCAGGGAGGAAATCACAGGGAGTCAGCTGTCTTCTTGCGCTGAGTCAGCTCCTGGGTGGTGGCCACAAGATCAGATGAGCCAGTTTATCAATCTGGTTGGTGCCAGCAGATCCATCAAGTTGCAGGGTCGGCAAAATATCTCAAGCACTGATCTTAGGGGCAGCTTAGGGAGGGTCAGAATCTTGTAGCCTCCAGATGCACGACTCCTAAACCATAATTCCCAATATTGTGGCTAATGTTAGTCCTAAAAATGCAATCTAGTCCCCAGGCAAGGAGGTGGTCTGCTTTGGGAAAGGGCTGTTACTGTCTTTGTTTTAAACTATAAACTGGCTGGGCGCGGTGGCTCACGCCTGTAATCCCAGCACTTTGGGAGGCCAAGATGGGCGGATCACCTGAGGTCGGGAGTTCAAGACCAGCCTGGCCAACATCGAGAAACCTCGTCTCTATTAAAAATACAAAATTAGCTGGGCGTGGTGGCGCATGATTGTAATCCCATCTACTCGGGAGGCTGAGGCAGGAGAATTGCTTGAACCAGCGAGTTGGAGGTTGCAGTGAGCTGAGATCGCGCTACTGCACTCCAGCCTGGAAACAGAGTAAGACTCCGTCTCAAAAGAAAGAAAGAAAGAAAGAAAAAAACAAAAAACTATAAACTGAGTTTCTCCCAAAGTTATTTCAACCTACCAGCAGGGATGAATAAGGACAGCTTGGAGGTTAGAAGCAAGATAGAGTCGGCTGAGTTAGATCTCTTTCACTGTTTCAGTCATCATTTTGCAAAGGCGGTTTCACCTGGGCGCGGAAAGGCTGCATGACCTCCGGCAGCTCCGGGCTTAGTACCAGGGACTGGACTGGGGGGACACGACCCTACGGATTCGCGCCGTCGCCCACCTGGCCAGGCCCCATGTGCGCCCCTAGCCACCAGGGCGCGAGGGGCGGCAGGGGCGGGGCCTTGGGGAAGCGGCCTAGGGGTGGTCCCTGGGAGTTTCCATGGGCGGGGCCTGCTGGGGAGATGCGATTGGACTGGCACCGGGGGGCGGGGCCTTGGGGAAGTGGCCCAGGAGTGGTCCCAAGGAGTCAACGTGGGCGGGGCCAGCTGGGAAGATCGTATTGGACCAGCCCTGAGGAGGGGCGGGGCCTCCCGGAGGCGGAAGCCGGGATTCGCCCTCCGGGGAGCGATTGGTCCTCGGGAGGGGCGGGGAGGTGGACGCGGGTACCGGCGGTCGTCGGGTCGGCAGCCTTTGGTCAGTTGGCAGCGGCAAGCGCGCTGCGGTTCCGGTGGCGCCATGTCGTTCTGCAGCTTCTTCGGGGGCGAGGTTTTCCAGAATCACTTTGAACCTGGTTGGTCCTGCGGCCTCTCGCTGGGAGGGCAGCGCGGCGGGGGGCGCGCATTAGCGGGGGCGCCGCCGTCGTCCGGGGGTGATGTCTCTCCCAAGCCGGGAATGGGGGCGAATGTGGCTGCCGGGGAGAAGCGAACAGGGGTCAAAAGGACTGCGGAGGAGTGGGGAGCCTGGGGGCGAGGAGAGTGGGGTACCCGAGGAGAGGGGGCCTTGGGGCTCACCGTCCTGGAGGGGGCAGGCCTCGAGTGTGAACGTGCCGTTTCGGGGGTGGGTCTAAGGGATCGGGATACGTGGGGGTGGTACCCCTTCCCTACCCCCTACACTCCAAAGTGATGGCGCTGGGGGAATTCGGGTTAGGGTCGGGGCTTCGGAGAGGCCAGGTTCTTGTCCAGGGCCAGCTCCTGTGGCCGGGGCGCCCCTTCGCGGGTCATCCCGCAGGTGTTACCCTGGCCCTTCCCATTCCCCCGAGTCCGGGATCTCTGGGAGGAGTCTGGCAAGCATAGAATGTCCCCTTCAGATCCTAATGTGCCGGCCCAGGTGCCTCCCCACCTGCCCAGGGACTCCAAATTGGGGAACCAGGAGTGCCACCAGGCACCTGCCAACAGCCCGTGAAGTTTGACCAGGCAGGCAGGATGGGGTGGTTTGGGGCATGGCCAGCCCTCCACACTGGCCCTGATGAATCCCTTCTGGGCTGGGCTCGCCTGGTAGTGGACTAATTTGGTAAAAACACATCCACAGGCAAGTCTGAGTGCACTGGTCTCCTTGGGCGGATCTGCTGGGTGGCACCCCTGTAGCGGGTTGGGCTGTGACACAGGACCATCCCGGCAAAGCCTCCCCCAGCAAGACTCTCTGGCTTTAGATCCCAGTTGTCCTCAGGCTGCTCTGCCAAGCCAGAAACTCCACTTCCACAGCAGCTGCTGGCTTCTCTTTGCTTTTTTCTCCAGTTCCTGGAAAAGGCTGGGTAGTTTACAGTCTCCAGGGGAGGCTGTCCCCAGGTGATGGGTGAGAGGTGACTCAGCACCCCTGGAGGTTCCTGTTTTCAGTCCTTAAAACAGTTCTGCAAGTCAGTTTTGCAACTTTCCCACCCCCTCCACTCCAAAGGGATCCTTTGTGGGTAGGCTGAAATCTGTTGTCCCCAGCCCTCTTTCTTCCTGGGCTCCTGTGTGGCCTGGAGGCCTTTTCTCTGGGACTGTTCTCTTCCTGCCTGGAGAGCAGAGCAGTGCCTGGGTATCCAGCTTAGGGCCTCGTTGGGCAGCAGGGAGGACCACTTGAGAAAGGAGAGGGACCAGGTGGTTGGGCCACATCAGGGCCCCTGCCCTCTATGTTCCTGGGGGAACTAGGGGGGCGAGGGGGAGCTCCGTGTCCTCATTGGACTACCCAGGTTCCTTCACGCTGCACACACTTGTAGCTGAGTGTCTGCATCACCAAGCAAAGATGGAAATGTTAGGATATGCCCCGTCACGGGGCTATGAGAAGAATCAAGGAGATAATTGTGAAAGGTGACTCCCCTGGTCTCTGGCACATCTACTAAACGTGAGCTCAGCACAGCGCCTCCCGTGGCGGGTGCCTGGGGAAGGAGCACAGCCTACCCTCGGAACGGGGGCAGCGCTGTCTTTGCCTGGGTTGGTGGATTTGGGAGCTTGACCCCGGAAAGGCGGGAGCTGATGACTCCACATTTGCCTCTCCTTCCACCACAGGCGTTTACGTGTGTGCCAAGTGTGGCTATGAGCTGTTCTCCAGCCGCTCGAAGTATGCACACTCGTCTCCATGGCCGGCGTTCACCGAGACCATTCACGCCGACAGCGTGGCCAAGCGTCCGGAGCACAATAGATCTGAAGCCTTGAAGGTGAGAGGCCACAGGGGTGGGGGAGGGACGGGGGCGGCCAGGGAGAGCAGAGAGCCAGTCCCACCTTCCTCCCTCTGCTTGCCCCACAGCTCCAGGGGCTTAGAGGCGTCTATTCCAGGCCTGTTGCCTCTGCCAGGGAGCTGCCACCCCAGGCTATCGGGAGAGCCTGGCCTTCTGGTGCAAATGTGGGAAACAGGACAGGTTTCCTGTACGGGCTCCAGGACAAAGGTCAACCTCTTATGTCGGCGGTCAGCTTGGGAAATAGGCGTGTGGGAAGAAACACCATCTGCCAGCCCCAGTAAGGGCCTTCACTGTGGCTGTATCATGGCCAGAAGCTCACCCAGCTGCCTTGTGATCTTTCCAGGTGTCCTGTGGCAAGTGTGGCAATGGGTTGGGCCACGAGTTCCTGAACGACGGCCCCAAGCCGGGGCAGTCCCGATTCTGAATATTCAGCAGCTCGCTGAAGTTTGTCCCTAAAGGTGAGCTTGCTTTGCACAGCTGGGGCCAGGCCTGTTGGCCTTTGAGCCCAGGCTGGGGGGCCCAGTGTTTGTGCTTGTCCACTTACCATGACAAGGTATGGGGCCACCAAGTCACGCTGCCTGGGAACTGTCCAGGATCCCCCAGAAAGGTGGCTGCAGCGCAGGGGCAAAGGAGCTGGTGTTCCGCTTCCTCGCTTGGTTGATCATGACTGTCCCAAAAAGGGGCTTCAGCGTGAGAATGTGGCAAATGGTTTTCCTCAGAGGCCTGGCCTTTCCCAGAGGCTAGAGTCAGGGGCGGGGCAGGCAGAGCCTGAGGCCCCAGTCTGTGCGGCTGTGTCTCCCACTGGCTAGGACTGTGGCCTTGCTTCTTAGCCGCTCAGAGCCTGCCTCCTCCTCTGCAGAGTGGCGGTGGTAGCAGGGCTGTGAGGACAGCTGCGTGTCACGTGCACCTGGGCCTGGCACACAATAATAGCTTGATGAATCCTCATCCTTTTTTTTTTTTTTTCTGAGATGGAGTCTTGCTCTGTCGTGCAGGCTGGTGTGCAGTGGCGCGATCTCAGCTCACTGCAACCTCTGCCTCCTGGTTCAAGCAATTCTCCTGTCTTGGCCTCCCAAGTAGCTGGGATTGCAGGCACGCATCACCACGCCCAGCTAATTTTTGTATTTTTAGTAGATACGGGGTTTCACCATGGTGGCCAGGCTGGTCTTAAACTCCTGACCTCAGGTGATCTGCCCACCTTGGCCTCTCAAAGTGCTCGAATTATAGGCATGAGCCACCACGCCCAGCCCACACCTGGTTAATTTTTAATTTTTTTTTTTTTTTTGGTGACAGAGTCTTGTTCTGTCACCCAGGCTGGAGTGCAATGGCCAATCTCAGCTCAATGTAGCCTCTGCTTCCCAGGTTCAAGTGATTCTTCTGCCTCAGCCTCCCGAGTAGCTGGGATTACAGGCTCCCACTACCGCGCCTGGCTAATTTTTGATTTTTTAGTAGAGACGGGGTTTCACCATGTTAGCCAGGCTGGTCTGGAACTCCTGACCTGAGGTGATCTGCCTGTCTCAACCTCCCAAAGTGCCGGGATTATAGGCGTGAGCTACCGCACCCAGCCAATTTTTAAAATTTTTATAGAGATGGGGGTCTCACTATGTGGCCCAGGCTGGTCTTGAACTCCTCTGGGCCTTGGCCTCCCAAGGTGCTGGGATTACAGGCTTGAGCCACTGCCTCGCCTGAAATGGGGCTGTTAACAGCACACGCTTGTGGCCATCACCGTGCTGTGGGGTTGAGCGAGCAGCCTGTCAGGATCTGGTGCGTGGTAAACCTGCGATGTTTTCGTCCTTTTGTTGTTATTTGTCCTCCGTGTGAGTGGAGGGAGAAGAGATTCTGGGTTCTCCTGTGGATGTCAGAACAAAATGGGGTACACAGACTCCCCTGAGTCGGGCATCTGGTCTTTTCAGCTCCCCTGTGGCCTGCAGGCCAGGGCAGAGTGTGAAAGCGCAGGGAACGGCACCTGAAGCTCTGCCTTGCAGTGACTTGCTTTCTGCCCCTACCCTGGCTTTCCACCGCCCCCGCGCCCGGCTTTCCGCCCCTGCTTGCTTTCTGTCCCCGCATACTTTCCGCCCCCTCTCCTCTCTTTCAGGCAAAGAAACTTCTGCCTCCCAGGGTCACTAGGCGGGCAGCCCACACCCACCCCAGACGGCCACCACACTGAGGCCACACGTTGGCCATTCCACCTTGGAGTTGGAACCCTGGGCGTCGAGACAGGAAGGCAGGGCGCAGTGGTTGAAACATCAGGACACTCCCAAGGCCCCGGCTCTGAACAAGACCTTTTCGTTTCTTGGAAAAGAGACTCATTTGCTGATGGTTCATGCCTTCTGCTGGGACAGGCCTGGGCTGTGCAGCCACACTGTCGGCTGACTTAGCCCCCTGCTCACTCTAGGTGCCTCCAGGAGGTGAGCCCTGGGTGCAGCTGGTCTCTGAATGACGTTACACCCTCACCTTCTTTTCCTGGCCCTGTCTCTGGACTCTCCCCTGTGAGGCCCAATTCCAAGACAGACTCTCGTCCTCACCGAAGCTTAGGCCCACATCTCCCAGGCTGCTTAGGAGACAGAATGGAAACGGAGGCCGCCCCTGCCAGCCGCCCTGGCCCTGGTCACTGCATGATCCGCTCTGGTCAAACCCTTCCAGGCCAGCCAGAGTGGGGATGGTCTGTGACCTGCTGGGAAGGCAGGCTGATGGGGCACACCCTTGGCCTCTCGTCCACGAGGGGAGAAACCTAAACCCTGTTTCACAATCTGTGCGGAAGTAGCTTGCCTCACTTCTGCTTAGGAAAGCGGCTGTTGCTCCATAACTCTAACCAGCACAGGGCTGAGGCCTGCAGTGCACACCTGCAGGGAGGCCCTTCCCAAGGTGTGGTGACTGTGCCTTACTGTACATGCTCGGAGGCCTGGCCATATAGGAGGGTGGGTGATGCTGAAATCACCCCCCATCTTAAGTAATTACTTTCTGGAGTAATCAGGTGGAAATCCATAGACAAATGAAACATTCAGATGTACTGTCTTTTTTTTTGTTTTGAGATGGGGTGGGGTCTTGCTCTGACATCCAGGCTGGAGTACAGTGGTGCAGCGTGGCTCACTGCAGCACTGACCTCGCAGGTTCAAGTGATTCTCCCACCTCAGCCTCCCAAGTAGCTGGGACCACAGGTGGGCACCACCATGCTGGATAATTTTTACATTTTTCTGTAGAGATGGGGTCTCACTATGTTGCCGAGGCTGGTCTTGAACTCCTGGACTCAAATGATCCTCTCACCTTGGCCTCCCAAAATGCTAGGATTACACATGTAAGCCACCTTGCCCCGGCCCTGCTGTCTTTATTAACAACATCAGAGATGCCAGGACATGAGTGTCAGGCCTTTATATAGTTAAAAAAGGCAGGCATGGTGGCTCACGCCTGTAATCCTAGCACTTCGGGAGGCCGAGGCAGGAGGATCACCTGAGGTCAGGGGTTCAAAACCAGCCTGGCCAACATGAGGAAACCCCGTCTCTACTTAAAAAATATGAAAATTAGCCAGGCGTGGTGGCACACACCTGTAATCCTGGCTACTCGGGAGGCTGAGGTGGGAGAATGGCTTGAACCCAGGAGGCAGAGGTTGCAGTGACATGAGATCCTGCCACTGCATTCCAGCCTGGGCAACAGAGACTGTGCCTCCAAAAAAAACCCCCCAAAAACCTTTTTTTGCAAATATTTACTGAGTATCCTTTCAGTAAATATTTGCAAAAAAAAATATGGCTGGGGGTGCAGCTGTGAACGAGATAGGTGAGACCCCGCGCTCAAGGTCTCACAGCATAGCTGGGGAGACCTGGTAGTGAGGTAGTGTCAGAAGATGATAGGGCTGGGAGCAACTGCAGCAGAGTAATGATGCTAGGATGTGTGGAGGAAGCTCCAGGGGTCAGGGAGGGGGACTCAGGAGGGCTTAGCTCAGCAGTGATGGGCACAGCATGTGCACAGGCTCAGCACACATGGGGCCTGCCCCAGGCCCTGGAGGGCACGGAACAAGGCTCCACAAGAAATGCACCATTTTCCCAATTTATACCCACAGAAATCCGGGGAGCATGTGGGAGTGGATTTTAAGGGTGGATGTTTCACCCTGCAGAACCCACAGCTGGCATCGCCCCAAAAGCGGTGGCCAGGAGTGCCCCAAAGGGCACAGGATGGCCCCAAAGCATTGCAAGATGGGGCCAGTTGGGATCTGAACTAAGGAACGCTAAACGCCAGGGTGAGCACTCCAGAGCATTTATTAGGGGGACTTACAGAAGGCCGCAGCGTATCCTTGCAACAAAAGCGAGAGAGAAGAGGTGCCCTCCCTTGATATCTCTGCAGCAAGGGGACACGGTGTGGAGTGGATATGGAAGTTTAAGGGATTTGGCTCAGGGCTGGGCCAGTTTCTTTCAGTGTTTTAGCCCACAACCTAGATTTTTTTTTTTTTTTTTTTTTTTGGAGACAGAGTCTTGGTCTGTCATTTAGGCTGGAGTGCAGTGGTGAGATCTCGGCTCACTGCAGCCTCCGTCTCACGCCTGGGTTCAAGCAATTCTTGTGCCTCAGCCTCTTGAGTAGCTGGGATTACAGGCGCTCGCCAGTATGCCTGGCTAATTTTTGTATTTTTAGTAGAGATAGGGTTTCGCCATGTTGGCGAGGCTGATCTCGAACACTGCACCCAGCCTAGAATTTTTTAATTTAATTTTTAAAAAATTAGAGATAGGGCCTTACCATCTCACCCAGGCTGGTCTTGAATTCCTAGGCTCAAACAATCCTCCTGCCTCAGTCCCCCAAAGTGCTGGGATTACAGGCGTGAGCCACATGCCTGGCTGCACTTTGTGATTCTTGGTCAGGACACAGAAAGAAAGCAGGGGAGGCCAGGTGTGGTGGCTCATGCCCGTCATCCCAGCACTTTGGGAGGCTGAGATGGGTGGATCACCTGAGGTCGGGAGTTCAAGACCAGCCTGGCCAACACGGTGAAACCCTATCTCTACTAAAAATACAAAAATTAGCTGGGTGTGGTGGCGCATGCCTGTAATCCCAGCTACTTGGGAGGCTGAGGGATGAGAATCACTTGAATCTGGGAGGTGGAGGTTGCAGTGAGCTGAGATTACACCACTGCACTCCAGCCTGGGCGACAGAGCGAGACTCTGTCTCAAAAAAAAAAAAAAAAGAAAAGAAAAGAAAAAAAAAGCAGGGGGAACCAGGAGACCCTACAGTAGGGATAATGGGGAAAGGAACAAAAAATTGGGTCAGGTTGCGTTTATTGATACGGGCCCACTAAGCAGAGGTTCTGGACCTCGTGCTACCACTGCTGGGGTTTGACTGGTTGGTTGGTGAGCTACAACACAGACCAAAAAGTGACCTACACAAAGTGAGGCTGAAATGCCAGGCCTGCCTCTCTGCGTGGCAGAGGATGGGACTCAAAGGCTTGGGGAGGTTGGAGTGTCAGAGTGGATTTATCTTTTGAGACCTACTCACCCACCCCTGGAGAGGAGAGAGGACACACCTCTTACCACCCCCACGAGAAATAAATTTGTGAGGGGAACACTCCTCCTTCATGAGCTCTGTGATGGCCTTTCTCCAGCAGATCTGGAATTACAGTGGCAACTGCAGTCCCTGGGTTGGGAAACCTACGTGCAGGGGAATAAGTGGATCCCCTGGGGGGCAGGGGCCAGGTGGCAGGGCTCAAAGGCTCAAAACAAGGTGGGCGTGGCCGCTGCAGTGCACAGCAGAGGTGAACCAGCGATCACAATAGTCTGACTCACAGAGACCCACAGCGTTGACTTGTGGATCATGGTGTTCCCAGAAGTGAAATAGACAGAAGCCGACTGAACTCTTTTTTTTTTTTTTTTTTTTTCCTGGAGACAGATTCTCACTCTGTCGCCCTGGCTGGAGTGTAGGGGCGCGATCTTCGCTCACTGCAACCTCTGCCTCCCGGGTTCAAGCAATTCTCCTGCCTCAGCCTCCGGAGTAGCTGGGACTACAGGAATGCGCCACCACTCCCGGCTAATTCTTGTATTTTTAGTAGAGACGCGGTTTCACCAAGTTGGCCAGGCTGGTCTCGAACTCCTGACCTCAGGTGATCCTCCTGCCTCGGCCTCCCAAAGTGCAGGGATTACATGAGCCACCGCACCAGGCTGACTGAATCTTACTTAATCTGTGTAAGCAGAAGAGTTCTAGGTCAAGTGAACAAAAGTCTAAGACAAATAAAAAACCCAGAGTTAGGCTGGGCATGGTGGCTCACGCCTGTAATCTCAGCACTTTGGGAGGCCGGGGAAGGAGGATCACTTGAGCCCAGGAGCTTGAGACCGGCCTAGGCAACATACTGAGACCCCCACCCCTGCCATCTCTACAAAAAATACAAAAATTAACTAGGCACGGTGGCACACACCTGTAGTCCCAGCTACTCAGGAGGCTGAGGCAGGAGAATTGCTTGAGCCCAGGAGGCTGAGGCTGCAGTGAGCCTTGATCATGCCACTGCAGTCCAGCCTGGGTGACAGAGTGAGACCCTGTCTCAAAAAAAAACAACCCTCCAGCCGGACGTGGTGGCTCACCCCTGTAATCCCAGCACTTTGGGAGGCCAAGGTGGGAGGATCACCTGAAGTTAGGAGTTCTAGACCAGCCTGGCCAAAATGGTGAAACCCAGTCTCTACTAAAAATACAAAAATTAGCCGGGCGTGGTGGCGGGTGCCTGTAATCCCAGCTACTCGGGAGGCTGAGGCAAGAGAATTGCTTGAAGCTGGGAGGTGGAGGTTGCAGTGAGCTGAGGTTGCGCCATTGCACTCCAGCCTGGGGAACAAGAGCGAGACTCCGTCAAAAACAAAAACAAAAACAACAACAACAACAACAAAACATCCAGGCGCGGTGGCTCACGCCTGTAATCCCAGCACTTTGGGAGGCTGAAGCAGGTGGATCACGAGGTCAGGAGATCGAGACCATCCTGGCTAACACGGTGAAACCCCATCTGTACTAAAAATACAAAAAAATTAGCCGGGCGTGGTGGCGGGCGCCTGTAGTCCCAGCTACTCCGGAGGCTGAGGCAGGAGGATGGCGTGAACCCGGGAGGCGGAGCTTGCAGTGAGCGGAGATCGCGCCACCGCACTCCAGCCTGGGCAACAGAGCGGGACTCCGTCTCAAAAAAAAAAAAAAAAAAAAAAAACCCCAACCAATCAAACAAACAAAAAACCCATCTCCCGAGAAAAACCAGAACCACGGCCCTCAGTGAATTCCCAGACTGGAGCCAGGTCACAGACCTAAAACCTCCATTCAGACCCACACCGCTGTATGGAGGGGACCAGGGTGCCTTGAGGAAGGACCCCCCAAATTTATCCTGTTCGTCTTTTCCCAGCCTTCTCCAAAGGGATCTCTATGGCAGTGCACTGGGGAAAAGGA